>NW_003315972.2:0-96924 GCF_000001405.40 Homo sapiens | reverse complement strand
TACTTCGGCCGGGCCGAGGCGCTCCTCACTTCCCAGACGGTACTTCGGCCGGGCCGAGGCGCTCCTCTTGAAGGTGAAATTTTCTGTTGCCATAAGAAAGAGATGGGGGCAAAGGGTAAGACCATAGATGGAAAATAATCAGTTCCGTTGATCAGAAACACACTTCTTAGAAGAAAATGTAATAATGACCCTAGACCAGGGAGGCATCCTCCAACCCAGCTGTAAGGCGGCAGTTAAGGCACAGTGGGGAAGGGACACCAGCTTTGCAGCCAGGAGACTCTGAGTTCTGCCCCTTCCTTACTGTGTGACCTTGGGTGGTTTACTTAATGTCTCCAGGCCTCTAATTGCAGGCATGAGCCACTTGCCCAGCCCATTTTATTATTTTGAAAACCTTTTCGGGCCGGGTGTGGTGGTTCACACCAGTAATCCCAGCACTGTGGGAGGCCGAGGCGGACGGATGACTTGAGGTCAGGAGTTCGAGATCAGCCTGGGCAACATGGTGAAACCCCGTGTCTACAAAAACAAAAACAAAAACAAAATTAGCCAGATGTGGTGTGCACCTGTAATTCCAGCTACTAGGGAGGTTGATGGGGGAGGATCACTTGAGCCATGATTGCATCACCGCACACCAGCCTGGGCGACAGAGTGAGACCCTGTCTCAAAAAAAAAAGAAAAAGAAAAACGTTTTCCACCTGTGTAATTTTATTTGCAAAAGGTATATATATGGCTGATTGCCGTGGCTCATACCTATAATACCAGCACTTTGGGAGGCTGAGGCGGGCAGATCACCTGAGGTCAGGAGATCAAGACCAGCCTGACCAACATGGTGAAACCCCGTCATGACTAAAAAAAAAAAAAATTACAAAATTAGCCAGGCATGGTGGCATGCACCTGTAGTCCCACCTACCTGGAAGGCTGAAGCAGGAGAATAGCTGGAACCTGGGAAGTGGACGTTGCAGTGAGCGGAGATCTCACCACTGTACTCCAGCCTGGGCCACAGAGTGAGACTCCATCTGAAAAAATTTAAAAAATAAGCCATGTGTGGTGGCTCACGCCTGTAATCCCAGCACTTTGGGAGGCTGAGGCAAGGGGATCTCCTAAGGTCAGGAGTTAGAGACCATCCTGACCAACATGGAGAAACCCCGTCTCTACTAAAAAAGAATACAAAATTAGCCAGGTGTGGTGGTGCATGCCACCATGTAATCCCAGCTACTCGGGAGGCCGAGGCAGGAGAATCACTTGAACCCGGGAGACAGAGGTTGTGGTGAGCCAAGATCGCGCCATTGCACTCAAGCCTGGGCAACAAGAATGAAACATCATCTCAAAATAACAAAATAAAATAATAAAAATAAATATTAAAAAGAAGGTTTTATATATATGGGATCTTTAGTATATGATTATATGAAATATATATCTAGAATATATATATGGGATCTTTTAATATGATTTCTTTTGATATATATAGAATCATCAGTATATGATTATATGTGGAATGTATATACGGAATCATTCGTCACTGACGTTTTTCACTCAGCATAATACCCTTGAGGTTCATCTGAATTGTTGCTGGTTTCCATAGGTTGTTCGTTTTCATTGCAGGGCACGACTCATTGCATGGATGTACCAAAGCAGGTTGAACCATTCGCCCACTGGACGTTTAGACTGGTTGTGGTTTTTGGCTATCGTGAACAAAGATGCTATGAACACAGGTTTTTGTTTTTGTTTTTGTTTTTGTTTTTTAAATGTGAGCATAAGTTTTCATTTCTCTGGAATAAATGCCCAATAGTGCAATTGCTGGATTGTATATTAAGTACACGTTTAGTTTTATAAGAAACTACTTGGCCGGGCATGGTAGTTCACGCCTGTAATCCCAGCTCTTTGGGAGGCCGAGGTGGGCGAATCACAAGGTCAGGAGATCGAGACCATCCTGGCCAACATGGTGAAACCCCATCTCTACTAAAAACACACACACAAAATAGCTGGGGGTGGTGGTGTGCGCTTGTAGTCTCAGCTACTCAGGAGGCTGAGGCAGAAGAATCACTGGAACCCAGGAGGCAGAGGTTGCAATAAGCCGAGATCACACCACTGCACTCCAGCCTGGGCAACAGAGCAAGACTCGGTCAACAACAACAACAAAACACCAGGCATGGTGGCAGGCCCCTATAATCCCAGCAACTAGGGAGACTGAGGCAGGAGAATTCCTTCAGCCGGGGAGGCAGAGGGTGCAGTGAACTGAGATCACACCACTGCACTCCTGCCTGGGTGACACAGCTTGTCTCAAAAAAAAAAAAACTCCTGACCTCAGGTGATCCGCTCACCTGGGCCTCCCAAACTGCTGGGATTACAGGCGTGAGCCACTGCGCCGGGCTGGCCATTGGGAATATTCTAAGTGCGTCATATAAATGGAATCATTCAGTATTTCTCTTTATGTGATTGGCTTATTTTACTCAGCAAAATATCCTCAAGGTTCATCCATGTTGTAGCGTGGGTCAGAATTTCCTTCCTTTTCAAGGCTGAGTAATATTCCATTGTATGTGTAGACCACATCTGGCCTCTCCATTCATGTGTTAATGAAAACTTGGGTTGCTTCCATGGGTGTACAAATACCTCCTTGAGACTCTGCTTTCAATTTTTTTGAGTGTACACCCGGCAGTGGAATTGCTGGATCATCTGGCCATTCTATTTTTAATTTTTTGAGGAACTGCCATGCTGTTTTCCACAGCAGCTGTCTGCTGTTATTAGGTGAAGTGTTCCGTATATGTCTGTTAGACCTAGTTGGCTTATTGTGTTGAGTTCTCTATTTCCTTCCTTTTTTTTCTATCTGGTTGTTCTGTCCATTATTGAGCATTGGGTATTGAAGTCTCCAATTATTGTAGAACTCTAATTCTCCCTCAATTCTGTTCATTTTTGCTTCATACATTTTGATGGTCTGTTATTAAGTGTGTAAATTTTTTTTTTTTTGATACAGAGTCTCGCTCTGTTGGCCAGGCTGGAGTGCAATGGTGAGATCCTGGCTCACTGCAACCTCCACCTCCTCGGTTCAAGCGATTCTCCTGCCTCAGCCTTCCAAGTAGCTGGAATTACAGGCATGCGCCACAACGCCCAGCTAATTTTGTATTTTTAGTAGAGACGGGGTTTCACCATGTTGGTCAGGCTGGTCTTGAACTCCTGACCTCAGGTCATCGGCTCACCTCGGCCTCCCAAAGTGCTGGGATTACAGGCGTGAGCCACTACACCTGGTTAAAAAAAATCTCTTATCTGATATTAGTGTAGCCACTGCTGCTCTCTTTTGGTTACTATTTGCATTACATTTTATTTTTATTCATTTGGGTGAGCCTGCCTTTAGTGTCTGCCACACTCTCCAAAGTGAGATTCCCAGTTGATATTCCCACTAGTGTTTACTTGTATATTAATAAGGCTGTTCAATTTTGCATATTTTATTGCTTATTTCATTTCTTCTATAAATTGCCTGTGCATATCATTTGCCCATTTTTCTGTTGGCAGAAACCTCTAGCCCAATGCTGGATTGGGGTTTCAGGAGCCAGCCTTTTCTCTTGACTTTGATTTCACCATCTAGTAGATACTTGTAGTAGACTAACCTTTTATCTAGAAACCTTTTATGAGATGAAGAAAGCTTGCTAAGACTTTTGTTGAACTGGGAATGCTTTCTTTGGCATGGCAGCATGCTTCAAGCTCTTAAGATAGCTTCTAAGCTACCTTTGCATCTTCTAAGGCGCTATTTTGTTTTATTTCATTTCATTTCACTTATTTTATTTTTTATTTTATTTTATATTTTATTTTATTTTATTTTATTTTATTTATTTTATTTATCTTAGAGATGGAGTCTTGCTCTGTTGCCTAGGCTGGAGTGCATTGGCACGATCTCGGCTCAGTGCAACCTCTGCCTCCCGGATTCTAGCGATTCTCCTGCCTCAGCCTCCTGAGTAGCTGGGATTACAGGTGTTCACCTTCACACCTGGCCAATTTTTATATTTTTAGTAGAGATGGAGTTTCACCATGTTGGCCAGGCTGGTCATTAACTCCTGACCTCAAGTAATCCACCTGCCTTAGCCTCCCAAAATGCTGGGATTACAGGCAAAATGCTGGGATTAGTGCCTGGTCCTAAGATGCTATTTTAATAGCATATGCTTTCTGTTTTTTATGATTGAGATGGTCATGTGGTTTTTCTCCTTTAATCTATTGATATAGTTGCAATATCATTCTGTTTGACAAGTAGTAGTGGCTTGTGATTTGGATTGACTATCAAAAGAGACGTGATAGGCTTCACCCAGTATGCATTTCCTTGGCTTTAAGAAAAGATACAGGACAGGTGGGACAACGTGTGTAACAGCACAGAGCGGAAGTCTCAGGACTCCCACGTGTAGCTTCTGAGGCCCCTTGTCACTCACGCACACGGACACTTGGTCCTGAGGCTGAGGGAGTGTGGACCTGCCCAGCTCCGGGAAGCCATCAGCTCTGGGGCCTGCAGATTAAATACCTTTCTGTTTTTTTTTTTTTTCTTGAGACTGAGTCTCGCTCCATCACCCAGGCTGCAGTTCAGTGGCACGATCTCAGCTCACTGCAACCTCTGCCTCCTGGGTTCAAGTGATTCTCCTGCCTCAACCTCCTGAGTAGCTGGGATTACAGGTGCGTGCCAACACACCTGGCTAATTTTTGTTTTTTGTTTTTGTTTTTGTTTTTTGAGATGGAGTCTCGCCCTGTCACCCAGGCTGGAGTGCAATGGTGTGATCTCGGCTCACTGCAACCTCCACCTCCCAGGTTTAACAGATTCTCCTGCCCCAGCCTCCCTAGTAGCTGGGATTACAGGCACATGCCACCACACCCAGCTAATTTTTTGTATCTTTAGTTGACATGAGGTTTCACCATGTTGGCCAGGCTGGTCTCGAACTCCTGACTTCAGGTGATCTGCCGACCTCGGCCTCCCAAAGTGCTGGGATTACAGGCATGAGACACCGCGCTCGGCCAATTTTTGTATCTTTAGTAGAGAGGAGTGTTTCACCATGTTGGCCAGGCTGGTCTTGAACTCCTGACCTCAGGTGATATGCCTGCCTCAGCCTCCCAAAGTGCTGGGATTACAGGCATGAGCCACCGCACCCGGCCAGATTTAATGCCTTTTTAGTCAGGGACTCTTCAGTTCCTGGGCTGCTGTGTCTCATTGACTGAAATTACTCATGAATTATAGTTTTTAAAAAATTGTTTTCTATTTTTGCCCAGTTGTAGCATCAGGGTTGTGATAAACCTCGGTCATGATTTGGGAAGCTTCCCATCATTTTCTTTTCTCTGGAATAGTCTCTGTAATGTGGAATGATCTGTTCATTGACAATTTGGTAGAAATTGCCAGTAAAACCATCAAGGCCTGAGGTTAGGTGAGGATTGGTTACCTTTTCAGTGTCCTCATTGATGATCGACCTAACTGAGTGATTTTTCTCCATTTTGTGTCAGTTTTGGTGATTCTTACTTTTATGGAATATTTATGTAAGTGTGCTAGAAGGCCAAGCACGACTTTTCCATCTGCCCTGGAATTGGTGGCCGGGAGTTAAAACCATGGTCAAAGAGAGATTATGTACCTAACATCCTACAGAAAGCTTCAGATGGGTGAGGGTCAGACAGATACACCACAGAAAGACTCACGACAAGGTCTTGTGAAGAGGCATTCAGCTTTGGCCGGGAGACCCCAGCAACAGGCAACAAGCAACGGCTGGGAATTAAGAGGGCTTGGGAAACTGAGTGTGTAGAAAAACACACAAACTCAAGCCGTGTTTTTCCTCTGCTCTCGCACCAACACAACAACAGTCAACACAGAAGACTTCTGTGACCAAATGTGGGGGATTTCTTCCCACCAACAAACAAGCAATCCATTCTTCAGCAGGCACCAGCCAGGTGTCCTCTCAGTCACATCCAACATTGCCTTGAGATGGTGTCAGATCTCACAGGTTGAGGGCCCAGTCCCCAAAACTGCCCCTGCTTTAGACACCAGTAGAAAGCTCAGACATCTGGAGTGTCTGACCAACAGGCTTCAAGTTGAGGTTCCCATGACCCATTCTTTGGGTTCAGTTAATTTGCTAGAGCACTACTCTGGAGGCTGAGGCAGGAGAATTGCTTGAATCCAGGAGGCGGAGGTTGCAGTGAGCCGAGATCGTGCCACTGCACTTCAGCCTGGGCAACAGAGCGAGACTCCGCCTCAAAAAAAAGAAAAAAAGATCATTGAGTTCTAAGTGTGCCTAATTCACACTATGATTTTGTCTTTAACGCGTGAATGATTTAGGAGCGATAACGTGCTACCCTAGCAAGAACGGGAATCGAGCTCAAATACGGACACCACCGTGTCTAGCAGCACAGCCTACCCTGAACTCATTGGAAATCGATATCCATTTGTCCCTTAAAATATTTTAAGTAATTTTGGAGAGATGTAGGAGAATAATGCTTTTTTCTTTTTTTTTTTTTTTGAGACAGAGTTTCATTGTTGTCACCCAGGCTGGAGTGCAATGGCACGATCTCGGCTCACTGCAACCTCCCACTCCTGGGCTCAAGCGATTCTCCTGTCTCAGCCTCCCGAGTAGCTGGGATTAGAGGCAGCTGCCACCACGCCCGGCTAATCTTTGTATTTTTAGTAGAGACGGAGATTCACCATGTTGGCCAGGCTGGTCTCCAACTCCTGACCTCAAGTGATATGCCCATCTTGGCCTCCCAGAGTGCTGGGATTACAGGTGTGAGCCACCGAACCCAGCAGAGAATAATGCTTTTTAAACATTTTTTTAATTTTTAAATTTTTAATTAATTAAATTTAATTTTTTAATTTTTTAGAGACAGGATCTTATTCTGTTGCCCAGGCTGGAGTGCAGTGATGGCTCACTGCAACCTCAAACTCCCCAGCTCAAGTAATCCTCCCAGCTTTGCCTCTTTTTTTTTTTTTTTGAGATGGAGTCTCGCTCTGTTGCCCAGGCTGGAGTGCAGTGGCACAATCTCAGCTCACTGCAAGCTCCCCTTCCCGGGTTCACGCCATTCTCCTGCCTCAGCCTCCCAAGTAGCTGGGACTACAGGCGCCCACCGCCACGCCCGGCCAAATTTGTATTCTTTTTTTTTTTTTTTAGTAGAGATGGGGTTTCACTGTGTTAGCCAGGATGGTCTCGATCTCCTGACCTTGTGATCCGCCTGCCTCAGCCTCCCAAAGTGCTGGGATTACAGGCGTGAGCCACTGCACCCGGCCCCAACTTTGCCTCTTAAAATGCTTGAATTACAGGCATGAGCCACTGTACCCTGCCACGGTAATGCTTTTTAGGGGTGTATTAGTTGGGGTTCAGCCAATAAACAGAACCACTAAGATGTATATATTTTGTTTACGAATTTTAAAAAATCTGAATCTGACCTTATCCAGTTGCAGGGGCTGGTTAAGCAACCCCCATAAAATGTTGTCTTCACTGCCTGTGATGTTGGAGCTTGAAGTCTGCGGCGGGGTGGTTCAAGGGGCCATCAGAAAGGGATGAGGGATGCTAGGTGTGGGAGAGCAAGAGCCAGCTGGAACCCACAGGTCTGAGCTGTGGAGCGTACGAGGAGAGACAGAACCCATGTCATCGTTCTTGCCTCTGACTTTAATTGTGTCCTACTGGGGACCTTCCTCAAGGAGCTAAAGACACACACTTGGCTCAGGATCAGAGACACTCAGGGACCATCTAGGACTGCTCCTGGCAGCTGCAGGCCCAGGTGCTGCTTCACGCCAAGGAGATGTGAGCATGCCAGAAAAGGGCTGCTGCCTCACTTCCTCCCAGCAGACTTGCCAGGGCGGTCTCTGTGGCTAGCCCTGAAATCTGACCGCTGGGAAGGGAGGGCATCCTGACTTAGTGCACACATTACAGAGCTTCCGCAAGGGGGCAGAAGAGCTGACCCCAAACCCTGAGAATTTGATTAGGATTGCATCAAATCTGTAAACTTTTTTTTTTTTTTTTGAGATGGAGTCTTGCTCTGTCACCCAGGCTGAAGTGCAGTGGCTGGATCTCTGCTCACTGCAACCTCAGGTTTAAGCAATTCTACTGCTTCAGCCTCCTGAGTAGCTAGGATTACAGGTGCACGCTACCACGCCTGGCTAATTTTTTGTATTTTTAGTAGAGACCGGGTTTCACCATGTTGGCCAGGTTGGTCTCAAACTCTTGATCTCAAGTGATCTGTCCACCTCAGCCTCCCAAAGTGCTGAGATTACAGGCATGCACAACCGCACCTGGCCGATTTAACCTCTTAATATTAAGTCTTTCAATCCCAAAACATGGTATATCTCACCATTGATTTAGGTGTTTTTAAAAACTTTCTCTTAGTTCTTAGTAGAGTTTTGTAGTTTTCTGTGTATGGGTCTTATACAACTTTTGCAAGATGATTTTTTTTCTTTTTCTTTTTTTTTTTTTTTTTTGAGATACAGTCTTGCCCTGTCACACAGGCTGGAGTGCAGTGGCTCAATCACAGCTCACTGCAATCTTGACCTCCCCAGGTTCAGGTGATCCTCTTGTCTCAGCCTCCCAAGTAGTTGGGACTGCAGGTGCACGCCTCCACATCCAGATAATTTTTGTATTTTTTGTAGAGACAGGGTTTTACTATGTTGCCCAGGCTGGTCTTCAACTCTTAGGCTTAAGCGATCCACCTACCTCAGCCTCCCAAAGTGCTGGGATTACATATGTGAGCCACTGCACCTTGCCTGCAAGATGATTTTTTTTTTTTTTTTGAGATGGAATCTCACTGTCGCCCAGGCTGGAGTGCAGTGGCGCAATCTCAGCTCACTGCAACCTCCACCTCCCGGGTTCAAGCAACTCTCCTGCCTCAGCCTCCCAAGTAGCTGGGACTACAGGCACACCCCACCACGCCTGGCTAATTTCCATATTTTTAGTAGAGACAGGGTTCCACTATATTGGTCTGGCTGGTCTCAAACTCCTGACCTTAGGTGATCCACCCGCCTCGCCCTCCCAAAGTGCGGGATTACAGGCATCAGCCACTGTGCCCGACCATCAAGATGATTTTTAACACTCTGTTTTCAGGGACAGATTTCTGGTGATAGATAACAAACCAATATTCTAAATGGCTCACTATGGGCCAGGTGCTCTTTATAATATATGTAGCTATAATATGAATATGAACAAACTCGTTTAAGCCTCACAACCCACAATGAAGAAGTTGTATTATCATCTCCATTTCATATGACAGACTGAAGCACAGAGGTGCTAAGTAACTTGCTAAATGCCACAATCCAGTAAGTGGCAGAAGCAGGATGAAACCCAGGCAGCCGGCTGCAGAGTTGCCACTCACACTGCTCCCCTTGTGCTGCTTGGTAACAGTGACAAGCGTTCCTACCAGTATCCAATAGCACATAAAATCAGGACTGATGCTCTGTCAATATCAGACTTGACTCTTTTCTTTTTTTTTTTTTGAGACGGAGCCTCGCCCTGTTGCCCAGGCTGGAGTGCAGTGGCACGATCTCGGCTCACTGCAACCTCCGCCCCCCAGGATCAAGCAATTCTCATGCCTCAGCCACCCGAGTAGCTGGGATTACAGGCGCACGCCACCGCGTCTGGCTAATTTTTGTATTTTTAGTAGAGACGGGGTTTCACCACGTTGGCCAGGCTGCTCTCTGCTCTCTGCTAACTCCTGACCTCAGGTGATCTGCCCACCTCGGCCTCCCAAAGTGCTGGGGTTACAGGCATGAGCCACCATGCCCGGCCAGACTTTACTCTTACGTTCAGATTCATTGAACTCGTTCTATAAAAGCAAGATCTCCCCCCTCAGTTGCTGCAGGGGAGAGGGGACATCTTCATCTTTATCTTATAGTATTTCGTATATACAAAGATGTGCACAATTTTTAGAATGAGGCTATGGAACTTTGTTCATTAGCAGGAAAGCCCAATAGCAGGCTAGTAGAGCTACGTGTTACGGGATGAAAGGGAGTAAGAGTGGATAGAAATTTCCTTAAAAACACTTTGTGGCCGGGCGCGGTGGCTCATGCCTGTAATCCCAGCACTTTGGGAGGCCGAGGCGGGTGGATCACGAGATCAGGAGATCGAGATCATCCTGGCTAACACAGTGAAACCCCGTCTCTACTAAAAATACAAAAAATTAGCCAGGTGTGGTGGCGGGCGCCTGTAGTCTCAGCTACTTGGGAGGCTGAGGCAGGAGAATGGTGTGAACCAAGGAGGCGGAGCTTGCAGTAAGCCGAGATCGTGCCACTACACTCCAGCCTGGGCGACACAGCAAGACTTTGTCTTGGGAAAAAAAAAAAAAAAAAAAAAAAAAACAGTTTAAAACAGACCAGGCGTGGTGGCTCATGCCTGTAATCCCAACACTTGGGGAGGCCAAGGCAGGCAGATCATGAGGTTGGGAGTTCGACAGCAGCCTGGCCAACATGGTGAAACCCCACCTCTACTAAAAATACAAAAATTAGCCAGGCGTAGTGGTGGTTGCCTGTAGTCCCAGCTACTCGGGAGGCTGAGGCAGGGGAATTGCTTGAACCTGGGAGGTGGAGCTTACAGTGAGCCGAGATCACGCCACTGCACTCGACCCTGGGTGACAGAGCAAGGCTCCATCTCAAAAAAAAAAAAGAAAAAGAAAGAAAAGAAAAAAAAAAAGAAAAAGAAAACCACCACTAACAAACAAACAAACAAAACAGTTTAAAACAACAAAGACATCAGTTTAATCTCCCCCTAGTAACCATTGAAATACTATACAGTAGCCCATTCTCATACCAGATTGGAAAAGATCAAAGAGACTGAGTAGATAAATGAACAATGTTCTGCAGAGAGAACATGGTCCTGGTGAAGCCGGGTCCCAGCGGCCCCCGGCCCCCTCGCTCCCCTCGTGTCTTCCTCCACTCTGCCACAGTCATCACACCCAAAGCCAAATGCCCATCAACAACAGAACTGGCAAAGTGAGTGCCGGGTATTCACGGGTGGGATAGTGGACAGCAATAGGAATTGACCTGCAACCGTGATAAACAGAATGGGTGAACCTTGCAAACATAGGGTTGAGTGACAAGAGCCACACACAGAAGATTGTGTACTATGTGCTGGTGTTTAGAGCAAGTGCAGAAAAAGCTAAACTAACGTATTGCATTAGAAATCTGGAAAGTGGCTATCATGGAGGAAATGGAGAGAGGATGGGGCCCGCCAAGGTACAGAGGGAGAGAAGAGCCCTGGGGACAGCTGTGACCCAGGACAGGCTGGTGGCGTCCATCCGTCTCCAGGCAGGACCAGGTCTCATAGGGCTTTCCCTGGTGGTCTGAACAGTCTTCCCAGCAGGGCTAAACACTGCGGTGAGGGGGAGATAGTCAGCTTCCGTCACAGGGGCTGAGGCCATGGTGTGTGGGGCAGGTGGGGAGCCCTCCCCAGCACCTCTCGGCCTTGGCCCTGGCATCCTTTCCATGTGGACGTCCTGAGTCTTCCACGTCCTGAGTCTTGTCCTTGGTGTCACCTACAGTCCTAGCCAAGGACTCTCCCCACCGGCTCCCAACCACCCTTCAGCCCAAAGCCTCCCCCTGACATCCCACATGACAGCTGACCAGCCCGGTGCAGGGTCCTCATTTCCTGCAATTTCTGGCTGTTGGCAGTGGAGGGGTCAGGCTTCAAGCCTTCTCGTTGACGTTGACATGCTCAGCCAGGAAGCTGTTCACTGTCTGGGCACATTAAGGACAAGGGCTCCAGGAGATGCTCCAGGTGACCTGGTAGCACCAGTGCATGGCCAGTGGCTTTAGAATGTTCATGGAGAAGGAGAAACAAGTTTCCAGACAGTCAGATTCCTCAAGGCAGAAGAGGAGGGAAGGGGAGGGGTGGTGGTTTGGGTGACTGTGCAAGCCAGATGGGGGGTCCTCAAGCTCAGCCATTCCAGTGTGCTGCTCTCTCCTGAGAGGGAGGGAGGGAGGGAGGGAGGGAGGGAAGGAGGCAGGGAGGGAGGGAAGAAGGGAGGAAGAAAGGAAGGGAGGGAGGGAGGGAAGGAGGGAAGGAAGGGTCAAGGAAGGGAGGGAGGTGTTGTGGGAAGTCAGGGACCCCAAATGGAGGGACCAGCTGAAGCCATGACAGAAGAACGTGGATTGTGAAGATTTTATGGACATTTATTAGTTCCCCAAATTAATACTTTTGTAATTTCTTATGCCTGTCTTTACTGCAATCTCTAAACATAAATTGTAAAGATTTCATGGACACTTATCACTTCCCCAATCAATACCCTTGTGATTTCCTATGCCTGTCTTTACTTTAATCTCTTAATCCTGTCAGCCGAGGAGGATGTATTTCGCCTCAGGACCCTGTAATAATTGCATTAACTGCACAAATTGTACAGCATGTGTGTTTGAGCAATATGAAATGTGGGCACCCTGAAAAAAGAACAGGATAACAGCAATTGTTCAGGGAATAAGAGAGATAACCTTAAACTCTGACCACCGGTGAGCCGGGCAGAACAGAGCCATATTTCTCTTCTTTCAAAAGCAAATGGGAGAAATATCGCTGAATTCTTTTTCTCAGCAAGGAACATCCCTGAGAAAGAGAATGCGCACCTAGGGGTAGGTCTCTGAACTGGCCCCCCCAGGGCGTACCTGTCTCTTATGGTCGAGATTACAGAGGTGAGATAGACTCCAGTCTCCCATAGCGCTCCCAGGCTTATTAGGAAGAGGAAATTCCCGCCTACTAAATTTTGGTCAGACGGGTTGCTCTTAAAACCCTGTCTCCTGATAAGATGTTATCAATGACAATGGTGCCCGAAACTTCATTAGCAATTTTAATTTTGCCTCAGTCCTGAGGTCCTGTGATCTCGCCCTGCCTCCACTTGCCTTGTGATATTCTATTACCCTGTTAAGTACTTGATGTCTGTGACCCACACCTATTCACACACTCCCTCCCCTTTTGAAAATCCCTAATAAAAACTTGCTGGTTTTTGCGGCTTGTGAGGCATCACGGATCCTACCAACATGTGATGTCTCCCCCGGAAGCCCAGCTTTAAAATTTCTCTCTTTTGTACTCTGTCCCTTTATTTCTCAAGCCAGCCGACACTTAAGAAAATAGAAAAGAACCTACATGATTATCGGACCAGGTCCCCTGATAGGGAGGGAAGGAGGGAAGGGTGAAGGAAGGAAGGGAGGGAGGGAGGGAGATAGGGAGGGAAGGAAGGAAGGAGGGAGGGAGGGAGGGAAGGTGGGAGGGAGAGAGGGAGGGAAGGAAGGAAGAGTCAATGAAGGGAGGGAGGGAAGGAAGGAAGGGTCAATGAAGGGAGGGAGGGAAGGAAGGAAGAAAGGAAGGAAGGGAAGGAGGGAGGGAGAGAGGGAGGGAAGGAAGGGTCAATGAAGGGAGGGAAGGAAGGGAGGGAGGGAGGGAGGGAAGGGGGGAGGCAAGGAAGGACAACTGGTTCATTCATATACTAGTTCCTTCATTCCTTCAACAGTAACCCAAGAGCACCCACTCAGGGCCACGGCTCAGGCAGGAACCTGGGATGCAAGGATGGATGGCACATGGTCCTCCCTCCAGGAGATCACAGTGTAGGGAAATCAACGAGGACCCATAGTGAGCCCCTCCATCCCACGTACCCCCTCCTCTATCCACTTGTGGGCACTGCAGCCTGGACTTCTGCATCAGCAGCTGTGTGGAGGTCTGTTACCCTGAGATCTGCAGCCAGGACAGGGGGCTGTGCCCAGGAACAAGGTAGGTCAAAGGGAGGTGGGAGAGCCCAGGCGGGTGGGCGCAGCATGGGAGGGTGTGTTGCAGGAGGCTGTGGTGGCTGCTCTGCTCCAGTGACCAGAGGGAATGGCTCTAGCTACCTGGTGGGCTGGTGTTGGGCACACGAGGCATTGTCGGGGGGGCTATGATCGTGTGTAGGTCCCTCCCAGAGGGCCCCAGGCCCTGGGTTTCCATCTTTGTGGCTTCCATGCAACTGCGTTGTGCAATGTGTTTGGTCTGAGCCTGATGGGAGGAAGAAAGCTGGTCTTGTGGGGGGCTCCCCTTTCCCTACCAATCTGGGATTCCTGTGTCCATCCCCAGCTAACACCTGGTTGTGAAGGACACTGGTGTCCAGCAGGACAGGGTGTCACCATCTGATCACTCTACATGGTAGGATAGGCAAGTCTCCCCTCGCCCTTTGGCCAGCTGTAGGTTTTCATAGTTAAAGTTGAAGTCCAGGTCAGGCGCGGTGGCTCACACTTGTAATCCCAGCACTTTGGGAGGCTGAGGCGGGCAGATCACCTGAGGCCAGGAGTTCGAGACCTGCCTGGCCAACACGGTGAAACCCCATCTACTAAAATACAAAAATTAGCCGGGCATGGTGGTTCGTACCTGTAATCCCAGCTACTCAGGAGGCTGAGGCAGGAGAATCGCTCGAACTCGGGAGGCAGAGGTTGCAGTGAGCTGAGATGGTGCCATTGCACTCCAGCGGGGGTGACAGAGTGAGACTCTCTCAAAAAACAAAAACAAACAAACAAAAAAAAGTTGAAGTCCTTTGGAGACATCTGGCATCCAGAGGTCAGAGGGGAGATGAAAGGAAGACACAGACGGGTGCCCTGCAGCCCTGGCAGGCACTTGTTCATCTCTGAGGCCCCGACCACCTGGGATGAGCCTGGAAAGCTTTTTGCTTTCTTTGCTGGTGGTCTCCAGGACCTTCTGCCCCGAATCCAGCCTAGTCCACGAGGCCACATCTCATTTTTCCTTGTGTAGAGTCAGGGATGGGGTCACTTCTCAGCCCCAGGAACGGTGCCTTCCCTCCCTCAGGCCCTCCTCTTTGTGATGACCACCCCAAATCTCCCTGTCCTTAGCCACAGATGCTCTGTCTCCAAGTCTTCTCCCACTGCCCATCCACAGGCACCTCTTTGCCTGAAGTTCTCATCCTGGACACTTCCTCTTTCAGGAGGGAGCAGAAATGGCATCGTCTGACTGGGTAACTCCGGCGAGCCCAGGGCTGGAGGTGGAGCCTTCATGGGGCGAGGGTGTTGTAGGGTAACACTGAAGGAGTTGGTTCCAAAACAGTGGCCGGGTCCTGGTTTGGGGCTGGACTCCTGCTGGCCCCTGGGTTGGCTCTGTTCTTCCCCAACTAGTGCCACAGTTTCACTGGGGATGCCCAGATGCAGAGGAGCTGCGAGATGGGTGAGGAGGCAGGTCCTCACACCCTTCCGTGGGGACAGTGAACTCCAAGAAGATTTTCATAGGCGGGTTTGGCTAAGTGCATCAAAAGCTTTGTTCAGTTCTTAGGAAATGTTCTACGACCATCTGTCCAAAATGCCTAAGCAATTATGAAACCCCACATCGCAGCTTCATGGACAATACTGGAAATTTGAAAACTACCTAACTGTGCTCCACTGGGGGTTGGTGAGAACTTGTAGATCAGGGGCTTTCCAGGCATGGATTTTTTTGAGATGAAGTTTCGCTCTTGTTGCCCAGGCTGGAGTGCAATGGCGCAGTCTCGGCTCACTGCAACCTCCGCCTCTCGGGTTCAAGTGATTCTCCTGCCTCAGCCTCCCGAGTAGCTGGGATTACAGGCAGGCGCCACTACACCTGGCTATCACACGTATATTATGCAGCCTTTTGAAGCCTTTTCCTAAGATGTGGGGAAATGTTTGTAACTATACTATAAGGAAAGACGCAGGACTCCAACTTCTGGGCACAAGATAGTTTCCAGCATAGCACTATTTATTACCTGTTGGCCATGGCTGTGGCTGGGTCCATCCATTGAATACTTTACCTGCCTTAATGAGCTCCAAGCCAAGGCACAGAGAGGGTGAGTCACTCAATAGGGGGTCACACAGGTAGGAGGAGGAAGAGCCGGGAGTTGAATCCAGGAATTCTGCATCCACAGCCCATGCTTTTAACTGTTACATTCTATCATCTCTGCTATAAAAGTATTGGACAGGAAAAAAATTGGGCCAAAGAATCACAAGAACCTCCCTAGACTCACTTTGCAGATGAATGGGGAGGGGGGTGGCTAGGAGTTGTGTTGTGCCTATTTCTTAAGTTGGGGAGTACACACTTTGGTGTTCGCATATTGTCGTATTTAAATCTTAAGAATTAAAAAAAATTCTATAGGCTGGGCGCAGTGGCTCATGCCTGTAATCCCAGCACTATGGGAGGCTGAAGCAGGTGGATCACCTGAGGTCAGGAGTTTGAGACCAGGCTGGCCAACATAGTGAAACCCCGTGTCTCCTAAAAATACAAAAATTAGCCGGGTAGGGTGGCGCATGCCTGTAATCCCAGCTACTCAGAAAGCTGAGGCAGGAGAATTGCTAGAACTCAGAAGGTGGAGGTTGCAGTGAGCCAAGATTGCACCACTGCACTCCAGCCTAGGCAATAGAGTGAGATTCCATGTCAAAAACAAAACAAAACAAAAAAACAAAAATTCTATATTTAAAATTTAATTAATTTTTTTTTTTTTTGAGTTGAGTCTTGCTCTGTCACCCAGGCTGGAGTGCAGTGGCATGATCTAGGCTCACTGCAACCTCCACCTCCTGTGTTCAAGCCTGCCTCATCCTCCTGGGATTACAGGCATGCACCACCACGCCCAGCTAATTTTTGTATTTTTAGTAGAGACGGGGTTTCACCATGTTGGCCAGGCTGGTCTCAAACTCCTGACCTCAGATGATCCACCTGCCCCTGCCTCCTAGTGCTAAGATTACAGGCGTGAGCCACTGCCCTAGGTCTATACTGTTTTTAATCATTCATTTTTTTTCTTTCAACAATTGTAAATGGATTCCTACCCAGGGGGCAAGGCTGGGCAGTCAAGGCACAGGCAGCAAGCGGTAGACTCCAACCTCAGTGCGTTTCCGGGAAGTGGAGGCAGATGGTCAAGAAATGAGAATCTACACACAGGGAAGATAAATCCAGTTTGTAACAAGGACAGTGCAGGAAATAGACATGGAGATGAGGCAGAAGGGAACTGTGTGGGCAGCTCACTTCAAGAGGCCAGGGGAGGTGACTTGGGAACTGAATCCTGAGGAAGAGAAGGGATAGCAATGGGAAGAGCCGAGGGAAGCTTTGTCCAGAGAGGGAATGGCAGGTGCCGTGGTCTGAGGCGAGAGAGGGCTGGGTGACCTGGACTAGAAGAGACACCAGCCAGACAGCATAGAAAACAAGTAGAGGAGCTGGGCTTGGTGGCTCACGCCTGTAATCCCAGCACTTTGGGAGGCCGAGGCAGGCGGATCACCTGAGGTCGGGAGTTCGAGACCAGCCTGACCAACATGGAGAAACCCTGTCTCCATGAAAAATACAAAATTAGTTGGCCATGGTGGCACATGCCTGTAATCCCAGCTACTCCAGAGGCCGAGGCAGGAGAATCGCTTGAACCCGGGAGCTGGAGGTTGCGGTGTGCCGATATCACACCATTGCACTCCAGCCTGGCAACAAGAGCAAAACTTCATCTCAAAAACAAAACAAAAACAAAAAAACAAGTAGAAGGTGACAAAGCTGGCAGGGGAGAAGGGAGTCCTCTCCTTGGCCAGCTGTCTCATGCAAGGGAGTCCCCGTCCGGGGACAGGTGCTCTGGGGAACCTGGAGGAGGTTTCTTTTTGTGAAGTCTCTGTCACTGTGTGTGGGTGCGTGTGTGTATGTGTTTTGTGCATGTGTTGTGTGTGTATGTGTTGTGTGTGTTGTGTGTATGTGTGTCTTGTGTGTGTTAGTGTGTTGTGTGTGTCTAGGCCAGGGAAACAGTGAGTCGTTTCTGCCCAGGAGCAGCTGCATGTGAGGCCCCTTCTTGGTCTTATACGTGGCTTCTGAGGACTTTCCAGAAATTGTGAGGTGGGAGCCGCCACTGTAATCAGGCACATAAATAACACATCCCAGAGTTGGGAACCAGCGCAGAAGGCCCAGGACAGACGCCAAGCTGAAGCCACAGCCCTGACACCTGCCGCCCTAGCCCTGGGCTCCGTCTCTGCCTCTGGAGCTTCCTGTCCCCGGGACTCAGCTCCCCTCCCCTCTGTGGCTGGGCTCTGCCTCCTGGGCTGCTCCTCTCCCCAGCCCTCTCTCTGGGCCCAGCCTAGACACCTGCCCCCTCCCTGGGCTCCTTCCCCCGACTGGGTCTGTCCTGGGTCTCAGCCATGGCCTCCCCTGGGCTCCCTCTCTAGGGGGGTGGAATCAGGAAGGGGTGGACACAGGGCGGCTCCCGAGGGCCCCTGACTGCACGTTTGTGGTTCCTTTCCAACAGGGAGACTGGCTGCTGACTGTCCTCTTACTGCTGGGCCTGTCCCTTCCAATCAGCGCCCGGGGCTCTGTGAGTGAGGGTGGGCGGGGCTCTGTGAGTGAGGGTGGGGTCTGCATTTAGGTTCCTCTCCTGTGTGGTTTAGCTGAGTTTTCTGGATCCAGAGGGATGTTGTGTGACCTTTCCCAGCTACAGGTCCGCTACACAAGGAAAGACATCTACACATTTGCTAGTGTTTGTGGAAACAATTATGGAAGATTCTTAATGTTTTATTAGTCTAAATATGGAGCCAATTAATCACTTCATTAATACATTGAAAACTATTCTGGGAATATTGAGCATAATCTTACTCTTGTACACTTGGAACATAAGAGAAATTTTCAATTAAAATTAATTGACTCTGATTTTTAAAAAATCTACTTGATCAGGAGCACATTGCTTTGCTGGTGTCTGTGAGCAGCTGGAGATGGTGGTGAACGGTCTGTTTGCATTTCTTGGAAGAAGATCTTTTATTCTGCTGCTCAACCCAGGTCTCTGCCTTCCTTAGAGACTGAGGCCCATCCTTCAGTTTCCCTGATTCTGGAAGAGCAGGGGGGTTGAATGGAGCAGGAGGTGAGAGAGTGGAAAGAGGGCACAGGGAGGTGGCCTGGGGACAGTGACAATGACGGGAGAGGAGGGAGGGATGCGGGAGGTGGGAAAGAGAAGGAGGCTGTGAGAAGGAAAGGGAGGGACGGAGCTGGGCGCCCTGTGGGGAGCAGGGAACCCAGAGGAGGCTCTGAGCAGAGGGGAAGGCAAGGCCCAGGGGAGTGGGGAGGAGGGGGAGGCCGATGGGGCACCGGGCAGAGGGAGGAAGCCCTCACCTGGAGAATGGCCCGCAGCCTCCCACTCAGGGCTTGGCTGTGCTCATCTAGTCCATCCCAGGGCTGGAAGGGACATCCCTGGTGGTCCACAAAGGTGTCCCAGCAGTGCTTAAATTCTGAAAAGGGACAGGGGAGATAAGTCACGCTCCCGCTGTGGGATCGGGGTGGCACCTAGGGCCCAGGACTCTCAGGACAGACTTCCCACATCCTGGTTTCAGTCCCTCCTTTCCCTCTCCCTCCCCTAGGGACTTAGCTCCTTCATCAGGCAGTTCCTTCCCATTGGAATCTGGGCCAGCCCAGTTCTCATTCTTTCAGAAAGCCCCAAGTTCTGCTTCCACTTCCAGCCACTCTCCCTGCCCTCCCTGGGCCCACATCTCCTGGCCTGGCCTCTCTCTTCCCATCGACCCCAAAGTCAGGTCCCAGAGTCCAGCCATCGTTTCTGCAGGCAGCAGACCAAGGCCTTTCTCCTTTTCTTCCCAGGAACCTCTCCTGCCCCCACCCACCCCACCCCACCTGAACCTTCCATTCTTACCATCGTAGGTCATGATGGAGACTTGGGCCCCAGCATCCCGCAGCATTTGCAGTGCCTCCTTATATAGGGGGTCGTAATCATAGATGCGGGCAGCGAAGATACGCAGTCTCACGTGTGTGTTCTCCTGAAGGAACGCACGCACTTCCCCGGCACAGCCCCAGGAGAAGCAGGGGCTCCAGGAGATGAACCAAGTGACCCTGTAGATCTGGGCCGGGTCCAACTGCAAAGAAGGAACCAGGTCCAAGAAGCGCAGCTCCGCATGGCGGCCGTAAAAGCCACAGAGAAGATTCTTAGCCTAGAAAAGGAAACAGAGTGTGAGGTGATGTGTGGTGAACAGGGAGGGAGCGCCTGGACCAGGTGGGGCTGGGGAGGCGGGGGCCTCCAGCACGAAATTAGAGGGGTCACCAAAACCCCGGTTATTAGGATGCATGATTTTCTATGCAATATTAAAAATATCAGATGTTATGCAAAAATCCCAAGATAAGCAAAATGTTGCCCATTTAAATACAAACAGATCAGGAGCAATGAGGTTTTATTTTGCCCCAGCTCCACTATACACAGGACAGCACTCTCCTGCCAGGCTTTATTAAAATCTTTGCTTTTATTCATCATGATCTATTTGTATTAAATTTGCGTTTTAAAATATTGCATTAATTATTAAATTAAAATGTGTTTTCTCTAATTACTGAGCATTTGGAGCCCCCATCAATTTTGTACCCAAGGTCAGAGCCTTCAGGACCCTCACCCCAGACCCAGCCCTGCAGGGAGGGGCTACAGAGATGGGGGCAGGGAGGAGGGGCCGGCGGAGCCCCGAGGTCATTGGCCTGATGGCCCTGAGTGAGTGTGCTTCCTTCAAGGGGAGATTGACCTGCTCTACTCATCAACTCCCCTACTCCCATCCCATCTGTGGCCCATAATTCTAGAAGCTTCTATTCTGTGCCACAACCTGTGCTGAGCCCAAATGTGATATAGACTTAGGCCAAAATGAATTCCACCAAAAGTAGTGGGGAAGAGAAGACCAGCAGGACTCACTCCAACGTGGGAAGGTCCCTGTGACATGGTATAATTGTCATTATTTTGACTTATAGAAATATGGTATTTACTCCAAACTCCAGAGAAAAGGATTTTCCACTAAGACTAGGAATCGGTCAAGTTGGGGACAGCAGGGCAGCAAGGACTGTGATTGTGATGGGGACAAAGACAGGGAGGGACTCCATCAGCAGTGATGCAGGGTGGAGTGGATGACATGGTTTGTGCTGAGAAGGGGCTGTGGGTCGTTCCTGGGGGAGTCCCACTGCTTAGGCGGTGATGGAGACTGGCACCCTTGAAAGGATGTTCCAAGCAGTGTGTGTGGATCCAGCGAGGCCCACATTGAGCTCATAGAGCCCAGAGAAGGTCCCAGTTTCCAGCACCGGAGCCAAGCATTACCTGGTCTCTCCAGACAGAGGCTGTGCTGGGTAGGGGCCAGGGAAGAAAGTCCCCCGGGCTCAGGGCCCCTCAGCCTGGCCTGGCCCAGCTCCTCCCCAAATGCTGGACATCCCTGCATCCTGACATGGGACCTGTTCTGGCCTTGCTGTGGGCTCCACCCTGGGCAGGACAGGATCCCTGGTCAGCCTCTCCTGCCTCAGTCTCTCTCCGTGCAGGATGAAGCCCAGGAGAGGGCACTGGGGCATCCTGGCCTTGTGAGGTCAGGTAGGCCCTGAGTCCTCAGATCCCACATTGCTGAATTGTTCCTGGTGAGAGCTGTGTCTGTGAGGGGATCCTGGGAGGGTCCTCAGGAAGCACTTTGCCATTGGGCAGACTCAACCCCACCTGGGCATGGATAGTCACTGAAGCCGAAGTCTCCCCCCAACCCCAGGGCCAAGCAGCAGCAGCTGCAGGAAGCACAAGTGACAAACACTGCAGGAAACCACAAGTACAATCCGGAACCTTCTACCTATGAATGTCCCTGGATTGGAAGGGCCCTGCCTGGATTCGGATGGCTGGGTCGGTCACCTGGTTGTGTAGAAAGCCCCTGTGCTGGTCCATCTTGACCGAGGTGCCATTGTCCAGGCGCTCCACTTCGTAGCACAGGTAGGTCTTATGCCTTCCAATGCCATTGTTAAAGTTGGAAGTGAATATGTGTGGATCCATCAAGTGTCTGTGGACAGCCAGGGAAAAGACCAGAGGAGGAAGAGCCCTCCTGGACTGCCCTGCCTCCTCCTCCCTCCCCACACTTCCTCCCTTGCACCCCACCCTCCTTCCCCCTGCTCCGCACATCCCTTAGCACACTTCCAAACCTCCCCCTCTGACCCCTTCTATGGCTCACTGGGAGATCACTGCAGCCCTGGGGCCTGTCTAAGCCTTGTCAGGGTCTCCCCAGGGTCAGCTCAGTGTGCTCAGGCCCTCCGAGGAGGACCCTGCTCCTCTCCCTGGGGTAGAGCTGGGTCTTATTCTGTGGCCTCACCATGCACCCCTGTCCTGGCTCTGCTCACCCACAGCCCCTGCTGGAGATGGACCCTCTGGGGCTTCCTCCTGCCTGCAGGGTTAACTCCTACCACACCGAGCATCGGGACAGGGACACTCCTGAGGGGGATGACTGGGGAGAGGAACCTGCCAGGGACTTCTTTTCGGGTAATTCATAGGATTTTCCACATCCCTTAGGGTGCCCTGAGGTCTCCCAAATGTGCTTCTCAGGCAATTGAGATGGGGCAGCTCAGGACTCCTGGGCTGGAAACACCAGCCCCACCTTGAAGACCTCTCCCAGCCCCTCTCTATGCATCCTGACATAATCAGAATTAGAAAAATCTCTGTTGGGAGGCAGCACAAAAGAAAGAAAGAAAGAAGGAAAGAGAAAGAAGGAAGGAAAGAAAGAAAGAAAGAAGGAAAGAGAAAGAAGGAAGGAAAGAAAGAAAGAAAGAAAGAAAGAGAAAGAGAGATGGAGGAAGGAAGGAAGGGAGGGAGGGAGGAAGGAAGGAAAAGAAAAAGAAGGAAAGAAAGAAAGAAAAAAGAAAGGAAGGAAAAGAAAGAAAGAAGGAAAGAAGAAAGAAAGAAAAGAAAGAAAAAAGAAAGGAAGGGAGGGAGAAAGGGAGAAAGAGAGGAAGGAAGGAAGAAAGGAAGGAAAGGAAAGAAGAAAGAGAGGAAGGAAGGAGGGAGGAAGGAAGTAAAAGAAAGAAAGAAGGAAAGAATGAAAGAAAAAGAAAGAAAGAAGGAAAGAAAGAAAGAGAAAGGAAGGAAGGGAGGAAGAGAGAAAGGGAAATATTGGAAGAAAGGAAGGAAGCACAGAAGGGAAGGAAGGAGGGAGGGAAGAGAAAGAAAGAAGAAAAAGAAATAAAGAAGGAAAGAGAGAGAGAGAAAGAAAGAAGAAAGAAAGAGAGAGAGAATTGAAGGAAGGAAGGAAGGAAGGAGGAAGGAAGGAAGGAAAGAAGGAAGGAAGGTTCAAAATGTTCCCCACCATTTCGAGTAGACCTGGGCATGAATCTGGGCTCTACCACTCACTTGCTCTGTGTTCTCAAAAAAAGGAAACAAGGCTTCCTCATAGCCAAGCAGTCCTACAAGCAACCCCCTTTTCTTAATATTAGGGAGAACGAGATGACACTGAACATAAAAAGGGCTTAGGCCAAGTCCAGATACATGGAACATTTGCAAGAAATAGTAGATGCTCATTTAAAGACAAGTGAGGAGAATCCCCTCTCTGACCGTCTTCACTGGCTGGGGCACAGCACCATTATCTATTGGGATTTTCAGGCTCCCTGTGCACCTGCCCCGGGAGGTGGAAGGAGACCTGGAATTGGTACCATCGGAGGAGAGACCAGCGCTGGGACCAAAACTGGGAACCTAGAGCAAGAGGCCAGGTCCAGAGAGAGGGTCAGGAGGAAAAGAGAGGCCCCAGGGGTTTGAGGGTGAGAGGTGAGTGCTCATCAGAAAAGCTCAAAGAGGAGGCTGAGGCGCAGAGGTGCTCGGAGGGGCTTCCCATACCTGGGCCCGGATGCTGGGCTGGCTTCCATGTGCTTGTCCCTTCTCGGTTCCTGGTCTGTGTCCTCCCGCTCTTGCGACTTGCTCAAGGCGTGGTGTTAAGATCTTCACCAACATTCTCTTAGGATTCAGGAGCCTTAATATATCATCAGAGCAACCTGGAAGCTGCTGAGTCAGCGATACCCTGCCCCACCCCTTCTCCAGCTCAGGCCGAGTGTGCCACCCTCATTAGCGTCAGAACAAGGAAGTTCTCTGCCATGCCTCTGGGCAAGCTTTGGTTTTGATGTGCCCACTCTGACCACTGAACCACCAGACACTGTGGAGTGACAATGGGGATGTAGAGCTGGCCACACTTTGCTCCCTGTGGGCCACAGGAATCTGGAAGGCAGGAGACCAGGGGGCAGGTGAGAAGACAGGTGTCCACACCCTGGAGAAAGACCCTGAATAACACTCAGCGGTCCAGAGAGCAGGCTCCAGGACAGCCACCCCTGTGTCCTCCCCTGTGGCCAGTGCAGGATGTGCCTGGTCCAGGCTCCCTGGCACCTGCTGCATCCTGTGCTCTCTGTTAGGGTCCTGCATCTTCTTCCCTGGCTGTGAAGATGGGAGACCAGCAGGTCCTGCATCCTCCTATGCATCAGTGTATCTAATAATTGTAAACTAGAGGGAGGAGTGTTTTCATCCCCATTACCCAGAGGAGATGCTAAAGGCTCTGAAAGGTACCTAGAGATCCAGGCCCTCCCAGGAAACAGAGTCCCCAGCAGGGACACACCCCCACCCCCCTGTCAGAAGGGCCACCCTGTGCCCTTTCTCCCACCTCTGGGCCCTGCAGAAATGTGAGGGACACTGTGCTCCTGCCCCAAGTGAGCCCCTGAGTCCTGGCGGCAGGTCTGGCGCCGTCCTTTCCCAGGTCCACCTGCTACACCCAGCACAGCTGCCCCTGGAAGGTGCTGGCCCTGTGGGCCCAGGGGCTGTCCCCTGTCCTGCCTGCTCCCCTGTTCTGGCTCTTACTAGACCCCCCTGTCTTTGGCCAGCAATCCTCCCACCTCAGCACAGTGTCCCTGCCATTTTGGTGGGCGCCACAGACTAGAAGAGGCCCTGTTCTCTGCCGTGAGGACCCCTCCCATTCTGTCTCCAGATGTTGGACTCTTCTAGTCAAGAAGATGTCCCCTGGGGGCAGTCAACTGCCATTTGAGTCTCAGGTGGTTCTGGTGTGAGCTCATCTTGGTGTGTTGTGTGAGTCTGACCAGAGGCCACCCTTCCCAGTTCACACTCGAGGCATGCACAGCTGGACGCCCCGCAGTACCCACAGCCCACCTGGGCCAGAGACCACACTTGTACCAACTTTGGGAGGATCCAACCCTTCCCCAACCCTTCCCGGTGGCTCCTGCTGCCCAGAGTGTGATGGCCTTTCCCCTGGCTCAATAATGCATCAAATGCCCCTGGAGCAAATACACCCCTGGACCCATGGTCAGGACAGCCCCCACATGAGCTTTCTATGGGGAGACCCAGGAGAGCTGCAACAGGGGACAGCGCTTTGTTCAGCATCCCTGGGGCGTCTCCTGCATCTCCTGGCTCTGGGTCCTCAGCCTTGGGTTCCAGGGTCTCCCCAGCTCACCCACCCTGGGCACGTCCTCCTCCCTGCTGCCCCAGCTGGCCCAAGCCCCACTGGATTCATGACTGGCCCATGCCTGCCTCCCCTCTCTGATCCAGACAGGTCCAGATCTTCCAGAATGTCTCCAAATCTGTAAGATCCACTTTATGGCCCATCACAGAAACAGGCACATTGTCTGTTTCTCTTTCTAGTTTTACAAACCAGTCAGGTTAGACTATCAGCACATCTGCACATCTGTGAACCTTCTCATCTGATGACAAAGAAGGCCTCAGACTAAAATGTTTAAAGCAAAGTGGGGCCCAGCTACTGTCCAGAGTTCAATTCTCAGTAACTCACTGTACAAGCCATGCACCCAGGCAGAGCTCCAGAGAGGAGAGAAGACAGGGTGTTGGGGGGTCCCCACTAGCAGAGAGGGAGGCCAGGACCCTCCCTTGCCAAGGGTGGACAGGGGGAGCCACTGGTTGGGCGTCTGCAGCCCAGACATGAGCGGGGAACAGTCTCACTCTAGCCCCTGGACCCAGGAACTTCCATAAGGGCCACAACCTGGAACCTCTGAGTGAGCTCCCCAGGGACTTATGTGCCCTACCCCCTGCCAGTGCCCCCACCGACCACACCCACATCCTTCTGTGCACTAGGGCCTGACTCTCTCCCGGCAGGAATGTCCCAGACACAACTGGCCCCTTCCTGGTCCCCCTGCAGCCAGGGCAAGGCAGGGTCTTCAAGGCATCAGGGGAACCCAGGGGTGGTTAAGAGTGTGCACCTTCCCTAGGCCAACTGTAAGGAAGACGGAAGGAGATTCCACCCTTTCCTGGGGAAGGACAGCCCCTCCCCCATTTCTGTCCCTGGAATGTTGGCTGAACAATCAATGCGATAACTGTGAAAATGTGATAAAATACCAGGTCTTGCTGGAGTTTCCATAGGATCCTGGGGAAGGTCCAAGGCGAGAGAAAGAAACTGGATCCCCAAGGGGGAGGCAGGAGAATGGCCTCCTTAACAGGTGCAAGCTTCCCTGGGCTTTGCCCAGGTCCCCTGTAAGGAAAACTGGGGACAGGGCAAGTGCCCCACAGGGGTCCAGACTGGGTGAGAGGGACAGACCAGTGCAGAGGGACCCTGAAGTGGTCCCTGATTGCTGGGCCACTCAGCCCAGGTCACCCTGGGACCAGAACGGAGGTCCCGCTCGGGTCTGGAGTCCATGCTGCTGTGTATGAGGTCCTGGCTCTGCCATCACTGTGGGGCCCCAACCCCTACAGCCCAGAGGAACCACAGGCTTCCAGTTCCTAGCCCAGGTCTGAGCATTGTCATGGGGCTGCGTCCAGTCCCCTCCCCTGGACCCACAGGGCTCCCAGGTCATAGGCAAAGCTCTGAGATGAGACCCAGGGAAGCTGGGAGTCTGAGGAGCTCGGGAGAGAAAGGGCTCCCTGCTCCTGTGCCCCGCCCCCAACAGAGTGACATGACGAAAAGGACCCTTCCTTGGGATACCCCAGACACACCCAGATGCCCACTTCAACATTGCCCGTGGAGCAGGGTGAGGGGACAGCCTCAGCGTCCACCTGCTCCTCTGGCTTTGATTCTGGGCTCTGACAACAGCCCCGCCCTCCTCAGCCTAGAAGCAAGTGATCGAAAAAACCAAAGGATCTCTCCAAGCAAAGGGGCCAAGCTCGGGGGGGCGGGGGGGACAAAGGGTGGGGGGAATAGGGAGGTGGAGGAGGTGGCTGCACCTGCCCTTGGACAGGGGACAGTGCTGTCCTCCCAGGGTGGGGCCCTCTGTCCCCCATACCCCCACTGGGGTGGCCTCTTTGCCCAGAGTGACTACATGTTGTCCATTTTTCGGTCACTTGTTTCAAGGGGTGGAGCTGGGGCTGTTGTCAGAACCCAGAAATGAAAACGAGAGGATCGGGGTTGATGACGTGGTTTCCCCAGCACTCTTCACGGTAAGAATTGCTGCAATCCTCTGACTTGGGGCAGAGCTGAGGTAGACATCTGGGTGTGTCTGGGAAACCCCGGGGAAGGTTCCTTTCTGTCCTGTCACTGTCTGTGTGTGCTTGTGTGTCTGTGTGTGTCTGTGTCTTTGCCACCAGAAGGAGTTGGGCCTGTTTGCTCATGAGCAGCTGTCGAGGAGGCCCACTGTGTACCACATATGCGGCTCCTGAGGTCCTGAGGTGGAAGGTCCCTACTGCATCCACCACCCCGCGGGGCAGAGAAGGAGCCCAGAGAAGGAGGGGCGTCCCACCTCGTGGAAGGCCAGGAATCAGGAAGACCAGTGTCCCTTGTGCTAGGGCAGCACAGTGGGGTCCCTCTCTCTTTCTCCCTCACCCCCATGCTCCTGGTCAACCTCCTCCCACTCCAGCCCTGGCTGCCAGGGCCAGCCCCCCACCTTCTCTATGGGGTGGGACGCTGGTGAGCCACGTATTCACGGGAGGACCCTCAGCACAGAATGAGCCCTGGACAGTCCATGCATGTGACTGACATTGCTCACTTCACCAGCCCATCTGCTCCCTCCCTTCCTGATGCAGGCAGCAGGAGAGGGGCAGAGACACAGACATCCCAGGAGGGAAAACCTTCTGGAAGAGCCTACTTGACATGCCTGGTATCCTTGGCTCCCAGACAAGTCTGGACCACCGATCCCACATGGTAAAAAGGACCCTTCCACAAGATACTCCCAGACACAGCCAGATGCCCCATAGAGAAGGTGGTGGGCAGGTCCTGGTGGTCCCGGCCCCACCCAGTCCTCCGAGGGAAGCATCCACAGCTGTTTCTGCTCCTTGGCCTCCGACACCCCAGTGCCATCCCCGGAGGGCCTGGGCTGCCCCTGCACGGTGAGCTCCGGGCCAGTGACAGCCGGGGGCCCTGCTCTCGGCACCACCCTCTTCCAGGGGTGGAGACCCAGGCCTTGGGTCTGTGAGCTCCTAGGTCTGTTTCTGGATGCAGCTCAGCTCCCTCTGCTATGCACAGAGTAAGTGCCCAGCATGTGTGCCATGGCTCAAGTTTGGGATGTAGGAGTCTGGGCTGGGAGGAAGGGCCTGGCTTCCGCCTCTGGCTTGGGATGGAGAGGGCACCAAGCTCATGGTGTCACTCGTGTCACTTGGCCGTTCACTGGTGCTCGGCAGAGGTTCTCTCGCAGGCTCCTGTGTTTACTGTATGGTGTCTTCCGCTGTGCAGAAATTTCAAATATGGCCCAGTAAAATATATCAGGCTGTCTTCCCTTGGGCTCACATCTAAGACCATGGCTGCTCCACCCTTCCTATGTGTAGAAATTCTTACCTGTCTCTCCACGGTATGTCGCTTGTCCAGGGAAGATTCCATGCCTGCCTCGTGGAAACACCCGGAGCAGAAAAGGCAGCATCCCCGTGGCAGGGAGGCCTGAAGGCCATAGTGTCTGGCATTGTGTGCCTTGTTTATGCCAGCTTTCTCAACCACAAGATTACAAAAGTGTTTTCCTGTATTTCTTCCTATCCTCTTGCATATGTAGATAAATACGCATGTGTGAGACACACATGCACACACACACACACATGCACATACCACCACACATTTGTTGAGCCAAGTGGGTGATGCTCCGTCGAGTGCACCAAGCTGGCTTCTTCCTCGGGGCTTTTGTGCCTGTGCATGGGTCCCTTTTCATGGGCTGTTTGAGCCCAGCTTCTCCCATGACAGCCCCTGTGTCTGCCTCCCACCCGGGCACAGAGCAGGAACAGCAGCCCTGCTCTCTTCACTAGGCAAGCGTGCTGTGCACAGGTAGGTGTTCAATATTGGATGAATAATTCATACTAACAAACCCTGTTCAACCCACCAAGTGTAAACTGCTGAGGTCTCCCAATATTCCTGGGGACACACTTTAGAATTCACAGTTCACCCAGGGCGGGTGAAAGCTTGCTTTTCTTTTTCCTCTTCAGCCACGGAACTTGCCGATGCCCACTTTTCCAATGCCAGCGTGAAAGCCCCAGTGAGTGCCCTAGAGGGGCAGGACACCAGCTGAAGCTCTTTTTGTAAAGTCTGTGCAAACTGCAGCAATCCACAACCATGAGCTTCACCTAATTCTCCTCCTTACTAATGAGGAAGTACACGGGTGGCCCAGAAATAAAGAATTTACACAGGCACTCTCTAATGAGATTTTATAAATTGCTACTCTTAGGCAATGTGACCTAGTGGGCAATAATGTCAGCACCTTGCATTGTGCAATTTGCCAGAGCCCAGCCCATGTCCAGTCCAAAGGGGGTGAAATTTCTCCTTGTGGCTTTAGAGCTTCCTTCTGAGCACCCGTCCACCCTCCTACACACACCCTTCTGAATGTTATAGCTTTATAACTGTATTGAGACTTTGTACAGCTCACTCTTCCAATTGTTATAGCTTTAAAATAGTATGGACTTTTCTTTTCTTTTTTTGAGACAAGAGTCTTGTTCTGTCACCCAGGCTGGAGTACAGTCATGTGATCTCAGCTCACTGCAACCTCTGCCTCTCGGGTTCAAACGATTCTCCTGCCTCAGCCTCCTGAGTAGCTGGGAACTACAGGCGTGCACCACCACACCCAGCTAATTTTTGTATTTTTAGTAGAGACAGGGTTTCACCATGTTGACCAGGCTGGTCTTGAACTCCTGACCTCAGGTGATCTGCCTGCCTCAGCCTCCCAAAGTGCTGGGATTACAGGCATGAGCCACCATGCCCAGCCATGTATTGACATTTTCTACCTTAACTCTCTTTATCTCTCGTAGTTTTCAAAATCAAATGAGTGGATCCAAGTCCTCTGAATGCAATGACCAGCTTGTCAGGTTCCAGTAAAGCCCTATCAACATTTTAAATGTGATTGCACTCGTTTATAGATTAGTTGGGTAGATGATTGATACTGGCAACCTCAAGCCTGCATTTATAATTAAATTGAGACTTCCATCAAGGGCTGGGCACACTGTGGGAGCTTAAGGAAGGACAGTGTGCTTCCTGCCCTGGCACCTCATGGCAGCCAGGCTTGAAGGGTCCCCAGAGAAGCCTTCACCACCCCCACGTGACGCCCTGCCCTTTGCTTGTGTCTCTGGGTTTGATAACAGCCCTGACTCCACTCATTGGAAGTAAGTGATAAAAATTGTGCAGTCATTCTGGGCAAAGGGGCCAGTGTAAGGGAGGCAAGAGGGGCTCACCCTGGTGAAAGAACCCCACAGTTAGTCATGTCACAGGGCGGGTCTCAGGGAGACCGGACCACCGTCCCCCAGAACCCCACCTTCCAAGGGCCCAGGCCCCCTGTCCCCTGGGGCTCACTCACAGCTTAGCCACGACCTCTTTCTTCCTCCCTGGGATGAGGCCCAGTGCCTGGAGATGGCCAGCCATCCCTCTGGGGGCCACCAGGTGACCAGCAGGAGAGCTGCGTCTGCAGGAGCAGATGTGGGGGCAGAGCCTGGATCCTGAGCGTGGTCGCAGGCCTGGATCTTGTTGTATGTAATGACCGAACCCTACTCAGCCCCTCAGGCAGCTCTGCTGGTCCCCACAGCCACAGACCTCCCTCCAGCTCCCTCTGTTCCCACGCCCCTGTCCTCCTGGCTCCTTCGTGTCCACTGCCTCCTGTCCTCCCGCAGTTGCCTGCAGCCCTGCCCTGCCCCTCTCCTCCCTCCTCTCTTCTCCTTTCCTTCCATCTCTCCATGGATCTGAGTCTACTAGCTCTTCCCTTCGGGCCTAAACGGCTGCCAGACTTCTTCCTGCCCTCCTGCGCCATCCCCTCTCACTGCTGCTTCTAATCCCCTCCACTAAATAATTATTTTCCCCCAGGCCCATATAGTCACTGTCAACGTTGTGGCACAGTTTGGCCCCAGATATGTGAGCAGAAGTTTGCCAAGGGGAGACCTGGGGAAGGCTGCCCTTTCTGGACAATCCTGTCGTCCAGGGTGACCAGGGCCGGGAGGCTGGACCCAGGGGCTTCAGGCTCTGCAGATGGAAAGGCAAGAGAGCACCAGTGCCCACCATGGCTGAGGTTGGGAAGTGGGGGCTGCTGTCCAGGGGCAGAGTCCATCCTCCATGTGGAACCCTTCCCACCTGGGCTCCCTCTCTAGTGGGTGGAATCCGGAAGGGGTGGGAACAGGGCTGCTCCCAAGGCCCCCTGACTACACGTGTGGCTCCTTTCCAACAGGGAGACTCCCCGCTGGCTCTCCTCTTATTGCCTGGCCTGTCGGTTCCGGCCAGGGCTGGCCAGCAGTGGGGAGCTCTGTGAGTGAGGTCAGAGTTTGAATTCAGGTGCTTGTCCCGGAAGGGTTAGCTGTGTTTTCTCATCCCAGAAGGAGTTAGTGTGACTTTTGCCCCACATGAAGGTCCACTCCAAAAGGAATGACATTTATTCATTTCCTAGTGTTTATTTACACACTTGCAATTCATGGTACAATTACCTAACAAATTATGGAAGATTCTTAACATTTTATTTTAGAAGTGTAGCTTCAAAGCCAATTAAAACAATCATTTCATTAATAAATCGAAAGCTATTCCCAGAGTATTAACCATAATCATACAATTTAATTCTTGAAACTTAATTTTTTTTTTTTGAGACAGAGTCCCTCTCTGTCGCCGAGGCTGGATCTCAGCTCACTGCAACCTCCATCTCACGGGTTCAAGTGATTCTCCTGCCTAAGCCTCCTGAGTAGCTGGGATTACAGGCACACACCACCACACCTGGCTAATTTTTGTATTTTTAGTAGAGACAGGGTTTCACCATGTTGATCAGGCTGGTCTTGAACTTCTGACCTCAGGTGATCCACCTGCCTTGGCCTCCCAAAGTGTTGTGATTACAGGCGTGAGCCACCACGCCCGGCCAAAACATAAGATAAATTTTTAATTAAAATTAATTCACTCTGATTTTTTAAAAAATCTACTTGTCAGGAGTGCATTGCTTTGCTGGTGTCTGTGAACACCTGGAGATGGTGATGAACAGCCTGTTTGCATTTCTTAGAAGAAGATCTTTTATTCTGCTGCTCAACCCAGGTCTCTGCCTTCCTTAGAGACTGAGGCCCATCCTTCAGTTTCCCTGATTCTGGAAAAGCAGGGGAGTTGAATGGAGTAGGAGGTGAGAGAGTGGAAAGAGGGCACAGGGAGGAGGTCTGGGGACAGTGACAATGACGGGAGAGGAGGGAGGGACGTGAGAGATAGGAGAGAGAGGGAGGCTGTGAGGAGCTGTGGGCAAACCCAAGGACCTTGCCGGCAGAATCTTGTTTAATTTTCACCCCATCCCCCTAGGTGAGCAACTCTCATTACTCCCAGCTTCCAGATGTGGATGCTGAGGCTCAGGCAGGGGATGTCCTGTAGCCAAGGACACACAGGAGGAAGTGGCGCGGGGCATGGTAGGCCCTTTACCCACCTCTGGGCTCCCTCTCTAGTGGGGTGGGATCAGGAAGGGGTGGGGACAGGGCTGCTCCCAAGGCCCCCTGACTGCATATGTGTGGCCCCTTTCCAACAGGGAGACTCACTGCTGGCTCTCCTCTTATTGCCTGGCCTGTCCCTCTGACCAGGGCTGGCCAGCAGCGGGGAGCTCTGTGAGTGAGGTCAGAGTTTGAATTCAGGTGCTTGTCCTTCAGCTGCACCCTCAGCCCCTTCTGTGCAGCTTCCTGGATAGATGCCTCTCTGGGCAGCCCCAGCGCTTCCCTCCCAGGCTCTGTCTTCCCTGACTATGTTGCCAGGTGATGCCTTTGCCCTGGCAAGCTCTTTCTGGCAATTGGTCATTTCTAGCCTCATACCTTGCCTTGGAAGTAGGGTCACTGTGGCACTTTTCATCTGAACCTGGACCTTTTCAAGAGTGACAGGGGTGCTGTCACCCATGGCAGGGACAGCAGGCCTAGAGCATCCCCATCCAGGGCAAAAGGGACAGAGGTTCACCCTATTCAGAGGGAGTCGATCAATTGCTATTACATGGACGGGGAGGCTGAGGCTCTGAGATGTCCCGAATATAGATCTAGGCAAGCCACCTAACCTTAACTCCCTCCCCCGCACCAGAAGAACCCCTTGCCCACATGGCTGCCGTGAGGCTTAAGCAAGAAGGTGCCACTCATGTGCAGCAGCAGAAGTGGCTCCATTATTCCTCTTACCCTCACCCCCACTTCTCACCCCTACTTCTGTGAAGTCTCATCACTAATAAGCAATGAGTTTAAGTGCTGACCCTGAGTTCACTGGTATCAGGGCACCTGACTCATTTGGCATGTTTGTGATAGTCAGAGAAAAGTACCCCTGCTCTGTACAGTCACATTTCTCCAGGTGCCAGCCTCTACTCATCCTCCCTGAGCAGTGCGAGGCTGAGCAACTGTACGTGGCAGCCCTGATTGGCTGACAGTGATCCCGGCAGTTAACATCAACACTTCAGCCCCTGGCAGCCCCAGGACCAATGTCTCTCCTCCACCTACGACATGTCCCTGCTCCTACCTGCCGCTGACCTCTCTGGCCGATGGCCCTCTCCCTGGTACTGTCCCTTTCACCTGCTCAGCTTGGAACATCTCCCTCAACTCTCTAGGAAACATCAGCCCAGGAAGACCCTGGGGGAAAGTGAGTAGAGAGAGGGGGGCGTGGCTGTTGGACTTTCCGCCTGTTCTCTCCACTGGGTTGTACCTCCTGTAAGAGCAGGGCAGTGTCATCTCTGCATCATCAGCGCCAGGTATTCGGCTTATGAGCCCTGAGTGAATGAGGATCAAGTGACTCAGTGAGGGAGACTTTCAAAGACTGGTATCACTTCCTAATCCCGCCATTCAGCCCCACCAGAGGTTCAGAGCTCAAGCGATCTGCTAGGCTGGGTGCTGGTGAAGTAAGAGGCACTGCATAGGGAACAAATAAACCCCGACACTGCAGTGGTTTAATACAAAAGACGTCTATTTCTCTCTCACACAAGAGTGTCATGCAGGCATTCCTCCGAGCACACGGGCAATTTCCTCCAGGTCGCAAATCAGAAGCCTCAGAGGGCTCCTCGGAGGCCTCAGCGCACAGGGATAGAAGCGGAAGGAGAGTGGGAAGTCTGGCCAGCTTTTTATCTTCACATCTGCTGGCAAGAACCAATGCAAAGGGTTGGGGATGATGGGAAATGGGGTCCGAGCGTGGCAACTCTCCCCAGAACTACCCTCGCTGGGCAGGGGGAGCAGCCAGCCACTCTGCCCCAAAGGCAAACCCAGCCAACATAAGCCCTTCCCCAGCAGCAGCTGGGGGCATTCCTGCTGCAGTAGCAGAGGTCCGCTCTGCCATTCCTCCTCCAGGAAGCCTTCCTTGGATTCTCCCGGGCCAGGCGGTTCTGTTCCAGTAGTCCCCAGTGCTCTCATTTCCCTGCCATGAGCCACACATTTTGAAAGTATCTCCCATTTGACGAAAACCAACCCTCCTTTTTGGTTTTGAACTCCTAGCACATGGTCAGTGCTTTTTCAATGTTTGGGGGAAAACTCAGTGAAAGAACGTGTTGGGACGCAGAAAACAATATCTCAAAATGAAGGCCTGAGAAGCAGCCTCAGAAGCAATAGCTTTTCTCTGAACTTTGCATGCCCTTTTGTCCTCAGTCTCATTCTCTTGCTAAGCTGGCCATAGGAAGTCGAATCCCCTTTCCACCCCCACCCTGCAAACAGCCATAAAACCTAAAATATTACTTTTCCCCCCAAACCAGCCATAAAACCCGAAAATATTATTCTAACTTTCTCTCTGCCTTTCTATATAAAAACTGTTCATAAAGAAATTCTCTGGGCTGGGTGCAGTGGCTCATGCCTGTAATCCCAGCACTTTGGGAGGCCGAGGTGGGTGGATCATCTGAGGTCAGGAGTTCGAGACCAGCCTGGCCAACATGGCAAAACTCTGTCTCTACTAAAAATATCTAAATTAGCCAGGTATGATGGTGGGTGCCTGTCATCCCAGCAACTCAGAAGGCTGAAGCAGGAGAATTGCTTGAACCTGGGAGGTGGATGTTGCAGTGAGCCAAGATTGTGCCACTGCACTCCAGCCTGGGCAACATAGTGAGACCCTGTCAGAAAGAAAAGAAAGAAAGAAAGAAAGGAAGAAAGGAAGAAAGGAAGAAAGGAAGGAAGGAAGGAAGGAAAGAAGGAAAGAAGGAAGGAAGGAAGGAAAGAAAGAAAGAGAGAGAAAGAAAGAAAGAAAAGAAAAGAAAGAGAAAGCAAGCAAGCAAGCAAGCAGGAAAGAAAGAAGAAATTCTCTGACCTATTTTGACTGTAGGTCGTAAGACTCCCAGTCCAGAGAGGGCCTTGCCCCACACCCAGAAGGAAGGAATGTTGCTCAAAGAGGCCAAGAAGAATCTAGAGAGACAAGCCCTGCTGGATTTCCCCCTCAGTCTATTAGCATTAGATCAAACCCTTTTTGTCCAATTATATTTCTACATGGCTGCCCATACCTGGTTGAAATTAAGCATAAAAATGGATGACTTCCCCTGTATCTTTTGGTATTCATTCTGAAGGCTCCATCATAGACGTTAAATAAAACATGCATGCCTTTTCTCCGATTTGTCTGTTTTTTTTTTGTTGTTGTTGTTGTTTGTTTTTTTTTTGTTTTTGTTTTTGATGGAGTCTCGCTCTGTTGCCCAGGCTGGAGTGCTGTGGCACAGTCTCAGCTCACTGCAACCTCCGCCTCCCTCGTTCAAGCAATTCTCCTGCCTCGACCTCCTGAGTAACTGAGATTATAGGAGCCTGTCACTAGACCTGGCTAATTTTTTTGTATTTTTAGTAGAGAAGGGGTTTCACCATGTTGGCCAGGCTGGTCTCGAACTCCTAACCTCAGGTGATCCGCCCGCCTTGGCCTCCCAAAGTGCTGGGATTGCAGGGGTGAGCCACCACGCCTGGCCAAGTTGTCTGCCTTTTGTGAGTTCCTCTTTCAGCAAAACTTCAGAGGGCGAAGGGGAAGTTTTTTCTTCGCTCCCTACAGATCAATAGCCACCAACTCTGTCCTCAAGACACTGAGAGTCTAGTTTCATCCCTGGGTAAAATGGGTGGCCACCACACGATGAGGGGAATGTGCTGGGGAGGTGGGGGTGCTTAGAGCTGGGGCATTTCACACAACCCAGAGGGGACAGGGCTATCTGAGAAGGCTTCCCTGAGGAGGTGGTCCCTGAAATGAATCCTAAAGGCAGATAGGAGTCAGCCAGGCTGGAGGGCTGTGAATGGCAGAGACAATCATGACACAAGGGGTCTCGCATGCAGAGGTATCTGAGTGCATGATATTGAACTTGTCATAGTCAATTCTGTTCAGCGAGGGCCCCATAGGTGAGCCGAGAGACAGCCCAACCTGGGGCGTGTATTTGCCACCTGTGTGACTTTCAGGAGACTAATGGCACAGCAGTGTTCTAGAGAGCCCAGATCTTCCCACCCCCTTGCTCTCAGAATCAAATCTGAACCAGCGGCCGAAGGCCACCTTCCCACACCCTTCCTGAGTGGTCCCCAGCAGGTGCCCTGATGAGATGCAGAATCGGTGCTTCCATGAGCTCTCCAATCCCAGGAGAGGGGAAGGAGGGCAAAAGGGAAGCATGGGTGGTAAGCAGCCCCTGTGAGTGGAACATGGAGTGAACACAGAGGACTGGCCTAAACGGAGCTTAATTCTTCGAGATTCCTGAGCTTTAAGACCAAGGTATCAAGAGGCTGGACTCTCTTTGAGAACCACCGACAACCCTAGCCTTCAAAAGGATGGGCTAGGCACACACTGAAATCTCGTCAGCTTACACACAATTCCTAGAGAAAGGGCTGAGCATGGTGGTTCACGCCTGTAATCCCAGTCCTTTGGGAGGTCAAGGAGGGCTGATCGCTTGAGCACAGGAGTTCGAGACCAGCCTCGGCAACATGGTGAAATCCCATCTCTACAAAAAATACAAAAATTAGCCAGGCGGGATGGTGCGTGCCTCTTGTCCCAGCTACTCAGGAGGCTGAAAGGTGGGAGGATCACTTGAGCCCAGGAGGTCAATGCTGCAATGAGCCATGATCACGCCACTGCACTCCAGCCTGGATGACAGAGTGAGATGAAAGAAAAAGAAGGAAAGGAAGGAAGGAAGAAAGGAAGGAAGGAAGGAAGGGAAGGAGGGAGGGAGGGAGCGAGGAGAAGGAGAGGGAGGAAGGGAGGGAGGAAGAAAGGAAGGAAGGAAGGATGGGAGGGAGGGAGGAAGGAAGGAAGGAAGGAAATGAGAGAAATGACCTAGAGATAAATTAATAAACAGATTTATGCTCAAAAACACAGCAGCAAGAGACCTTTAGATTCACAAGAGGTGGTGGTAAAGGGTCGTGGGAGGATTTTTTTCTCTGTTTTTGTTTACAGAGGAACATTGATCACTTTTTGTATCTGCACTCCACACACAGGCTCCTATTTAACTTTTACAATCTCCTTGCAGTGAAGGCAAGCGTCATGACCCTCGTTTTACGGGTGAAGCCACTGTGCAAAGACACAGCCCAGAAAAGGCAGAAACTCGACTTGAGGTTAGGTCTGCTGGGCTCCAAAGCCCCTACTGAGGAAAGACAAGTGTGACCAAAAGGCCAAACAGGAAGGCGACAGGACCAAGCAGGAAGGAGTCAGCACAGGGTAGAAGGTGACACCAAATGTTCTTGGCCAGGAGAAGGAGCTTTGAGAAGCTCAGCTGGAGTCAACGTTGGGAGGCATCATCAGAGAAGGGAGCACTGAGGCCTCGGACAGGGCAGGGACCCAGAGGGAAGGAGACCAGAAAAGGGGAAGGAAGAGGCCATCTCAAAGGCAAAAGCAGAGAAGACACCTTCAGGGAGGGAGGGTGAGTCGGGGAGGAGAGAGGCTTAAGAACCAGAGAAAAAAACTGCTTGGAGCCAGGTGTCGCCGATAGGGGGCTGTGGCGCCTCTGTCTCCCCACAGCACATTCCCTCTGCTTCCTGTTTCCTGGAATCTTGTATCACCTTCTCTATCCATTAGGGATCTTCGGTTTCAAGCAAAAGAAGTGGACCATAGCTAACGAGAAACGTAACAGAGCTCACGGGGTTGAAGGGTAAATTACAGAATCTGGGCTCAGGAAGCACAAGAACGAGTGACAGTGCAGGGTCCAGGAGCAGGAACCCATGCACAGCCCTGGAGGTCTCAACCACTGGGATCCACATTGCTCTGACCGTGTTTTCTGGTTTTGTCTTATTTTGTTCAGAGTCAGAGCTCCAGGGGAGTCAGATTGGGTTTGGGTTCTGAACTGGCCCTAGTCCTGGAGAGGGCAGGGGCCTGGGTTGTCTTGTCCACAAATCAATCAAGATGACAATCAAAGGAGAGGCGGTTCCCCAAAGGCAGCAGAGGAAGGGATGCTGGGCAGGCGAGTCCAACCCAGAGCAGCTACACAGCCAGGTGCTGTGGAGTGGTCAGTGCTGCCCTGGTCTCACCCGGAGCTTCTGTTTCATCTCCCCACAGCACGTTCCTTCTGTTTCCTGTTTCCTGGAATCTTGGATCACCTTCTTTACCTATTAGAGATCTTTGGTTGCAAGCAAAAGAAACTAACCATGGCTACCTAGAAACGTGGGGGAAGCTGGGTGCGCTGGCTCACACCTGTAATCCCAGCACTTTGGGAGGCCAAGGCAGGTGGATCACCTGAGGTCAAGAGTTCAAGACCAGCCTGGCCAACATGGCAAAAGCCCGTCTCTACTAAAAATACAAAAATTAGCCAGGTGTGGTGGCAGGCACCTGTAATCCCAGCTACTTGGGAGGCTGAGGCAGGAGAATCACTTGAACCCAGGAGGCGAAGGTTGTAGTGAGCTGAGATCGTGGCACTGCACTCCAGCCTGGGTGACAAAAGTGAGACTCCATCTCAAAAAAAAGGAAACATGGGGGGCGGCTCACAGAGTGGAAAGGTTAACCCTTTTCTACACTGGACAGACAGAAAAGGTTGAAGAGTTAACACCTTTCCACACTCTACAGCCATGGTCCAAGGAGGAGGCCAACAAGATCATGGCACGATTGTAAGCATCATCGGTGGAAAATCAAAAAGGTGGAACCATTTGGCTGCCACATGAAGAAGATGTTTTTTGGAACGGCATTAAGACAGGAAGATTCGGGAGAGGTAAGTCATCATGACCGAGGTTGGTGAGATGCACGTTCCTATAAGTACGGTGATGTAAACCCCAAAGACTGGGTTTTCAACATTTAGATTCAATCTATAGACAGGACATGGGAGGCTGAGATATGTTCACAAAATTAATATAAACATTCTCAACCTTAATAATGTGAAGGCGAAAGTGAAAGAGGTCAAGATGGAATGAGGAGGGAGGCTGGAAGAGGAGTGAGGGAAGTGTCAGCGGCTGATTCACAAGGTTGAGTCAAGTGATTCTGCTTCTTGTTGAGTTTCAGCAAGCACTTGAAGCTGTGGGCGTTTGCCCACGGGGGACCTGAGGGCACTGATGCAACTACATGAGGAGGGGAGAGGAGGGGAGGGGAAGTTCTGGAGAATTATAAGAGCGAAACTCTCATATTCGCGGAGGGAAGGCAGTAGATACCATCAAGAGCTAGTAAATCAAGAAATAGTGGTTCCCCGAGGAAACCACCCAAGGAACTAAAACCAGAGGGTCAGTATGACTGACTCCGAAAACCGGAAGCAGCCTAGAGGAGAAAATCCTCTGCGCCGTGTTCCCTTCTCCAGGATGTTGTCTTAACTAGTGTGTGTTATATCAACAACTTTTAACCTCATCCACAATGTGAAATAAAACGATACTATAACCAGGAATTAGTAAGAAAAGCACAGACTTTCATCAGAAAGCACCATTAAGGGAGTAAGGGAGTGAAAAGGCCTATCATAGACTCGGAAAAGATGTCTGCACTATATCTACCTAACAAAGAGTTTATCTCCCAAATATATAAGGAGCTCCAGAAAATCAGTAAGAAAAAGAGCCCATTATAAAATGGGCCAAAATCTTGAAGGAGCAGCTTACAAAAGTGGATATCAAAATGGCCTGTGAACCCATGAAAATGTGGTCAACCTCATTAATCATCAGAGAAATGTAAAGTAAAACCACAGTGAGATACCACTAGCCCCTCCCCACCAGGATGGCTAAAATCCAAAAGACTGACAACATCAAATATTGTCAAGGATGGAACTCTTTTACATTGCTGATGGTAGCATAAAAGGGGCAGCATAGAATGTTTAGTTGCAGCTACTAAAGCGAAACAAGCATCTACTCCATGACTTAGCAATGCCACTCCTAGGTATTATAATATCCAACTGAAATAGATGCTATGTCCACCAAAAGGCTGCATAAGAACGTTCACAGTCTGGGCGCGGTGGCTCACGCCTGTAATCCCAGCGCTTTGGAATGCTGAGGGAGGCAGATCACCAGAGGTCAGGAGTTTGAGACCAGCCTGGCCAACATGGCAAAACTCCATCTCTGCTAAAAAGAAGTACAAAAATTAGCCAGGCGTGTTGGCATGCACCTGTAATTCCAGCTACTCGGGAGGCTGAGTCAGGAGAATCCCTTGAACCCAGGAGGTGGAGGTTGCAATGAGCAGAGATGGTGCCACTGCACTCCAGCCTGGGCAACAGAACGAGACTCTCAAAAAAAAAAAAAAAAAGAACGTTCATTTCGCTTTATTCATGACAGCCAAAAACTCGAAATAACTCGGTCTGTCCAGCAACAATGGCATATATTAAAATATATTATAATATATAAAATTATTTTAATATATAAATTATATACAATGTAATTTTAATATATTATAATTTAAAATATATATTAAAATATATTGTGAATATGTTATACATGGTAAATATATTGTACTCTCTCCATCAATGGAATACTACACAGCAATAAAAATGAATGAACTCCTGGCATATAAAGCATCAGTGAACCCCACAAAAGTAATATTGAACAAAAGAAGTCACACATAAAAGAATTCATACTGTGTAATTTCTATGAAGTTCAAAAACAGGCAAAATTAATCTATGATAATAGAAGTCAGAACACCAGTTTCCAGTGGAGGGGGAACAAATCGAATGACATGCATGAGCCACCTGAGATTCTGGAGAAAGCCTCCACCCCATCTGGCCGGTGGTTACATCAACTGCAAACCTAAGCTTTTGCAATTAACTCTAAGTTATACTCCAATACAAACATTTTTGAAAGAAAACAAAGTTTCAAAGCCTGTATTTTGAAAGAAGGGAACAGTTTTACTAACGGACATAAAATATCCCAAATACACTGATAGACAGAAATACAACACAAATGCAAATAGAATCACCATGACTGCTCTTAGCTTTCTTTCTTTTTTTAAAATAGTAAACGGGTTATTTAAGTCCAAGTGACAGAATAATTGTGATTGAAGGAAATGAGGGGGTACTTACAATATATCAGAAACTAGGGAAGCTGACTTGGCATGGTGGTTCACGCTTGTAATCTCAGCACTTTGAGAGGCCGAGGCGGGGGAATCACCTGAGGTCAGGAGTTTGAGACCAGCCTGGCCAACATGGTGAAACCCTGTCTCTACTAAAAATACAAAAATTAGCCGGGCATGCTGGTGTGCACCTGTAATCCCAGCTACTAGGGAGGCTAAGGCGAGAGAATTGCTTGACCCTGGGAGGCGGAGGTTTCAGTGAGCCGAGATTGCGCTACTGCACTCCAGCCTGGGCAACAGAGTGAGACTCCGTCTAAAAAAAAAAGAAACTAGGAATGCTATAAAGCTACCGTAATCAAAAGAGTAGTATATGCACCAGGAGCAGAAATAGAGATGAGGAAAATGCCACACACAAACAGAATCAAGGATATTTGGGAAGCTGGTATATGACCAAGGTGGAGCTGCAATTCAGGGGTGGAAAGATGGGCCTCGATTCAGCTGGTGTTGTCCAGTGGATGAGAAATGAATCCTCCTGGCATTCCCGTGGCACAGTGAGCACAGCTCCTCTCCTGCACAGCTGCTCCCGCAGTCACCCGTTCCCAGCCAATCCCCTCCCAGTCCTCAGCCCATGACCCTACCTCAGCCGTCACTGAGCACCAAAAAGCAGAAAAGATCACACTCACCTTCACTCCACCTCTAAAACCCTGCCTCCTTTGGTGTCTATATTCATTCATGCAACATTGTTTTTACTGAGCAGCTACTATGTGACAGGTGCTATTCTAGGAGCTGGATACAGACTCAAACAAAAACAGACACAATTCCTGACTCCGCGGCCTGCCATAGTCTGTGCCCTGTCAAAGCCCAGCCTTCTGTTCCTGCTCAGGGCTCGGCCTCTCCTTCAGTGGGTTTCCCTCTGTAGCTTTCCACACCATCGCCCCTACTGGAGGCTCCTTCCCATCAGCAAGCCACGTGGACTGCTATCTCCACCCTGTGGAGCCACATTTTCCTCCATTCTTGGCATCCCTTCATAGAAAAAAATTATATATGATTTATAGATATAAAATCTTTCTACATGTTCTGTCCCAGTTTCCTGCCTCCTGTTCACTTTCATCCCCCTGCAATCTGGCTCCTGTCCCCTCCCCAACGCTCCAAGAAAACTGCTCTTGGCCACACCACCAGCGACCTTCAGGTTGCCAGGAGAAAGAGATAGTTTTCAGTTCTCATCTTGCCCCTCCACCGGCAGCAGATGACCCGGCTGAACACACTTTCTTCCTGAGCCGCCTCCTCTCTCATTGTTGGTGACACCCCTGACCCGCGGCTTTCTCTCTTCTGCTCACTCAGTAGCTCCTCCTCTTCTCCAGGATCTGTAAACACCAGTACCAGACTTGGGGGTCCTCCCCACTTGTGTCTCCCACCTTCTCCCAGGAGACATCGGCCCGCCCCATGTGCACACCACTCACCTCTCCGGTCCTGGAGTTCGCCTCAGCCCGAGACTCGGACATCCACTTCCTACTGGGCATCCACTCTCGATATCTGATGGGCATCATAATTCACATTCCTGATTCCTTGTGGGTTCCCCCCCAAAAATGTATTTTTCCTCAGACTTCACCAACTTTACACAGGACACCAGCATTCACCCAGCGAGCAGTGAGCTTGAGCCCCAGCCCAAGGTGTTACCAGGATTCTTCTTTCTCCTGACACCCAGTTCATCACTGAGTCCTGCCAATGCCACCTCCAAACTTATCCCTACTCGCCTGCTAATCTCTGTCCCCACAGCCTGCACCATCACCTCTCACTGGGATGGTGGAGAACCTTCTGACTCTCAATCTTCTCCCTACAATCAGTGTCTACAGAGGTGCTGCAGTGAGACTTTCAATAGGACCAGGACATATCCCCACCTTGACTAGACTTCCCAGCCCCTCAATACATGCCTACACACACATGCACACACCCACACATGCGCCCACCCACGTGCGCACACACATGCACACTCACACACATGCACACACCCACACATGCGCCCACCCACATGCACACACATGCACACACCCACATACACACACTCACACACATGCACACACATGCACACACCCCCATGCACACACCTACGTGAACACAATGCACTCACATGGATACACACATGCATGCACACCAACGTACACATATGTATGCATACACTCACACGTGCACACACCCATGCACACATGTACCCACCCATGCACACACGTGCACCCACATGCACACACACCCACATGCACACGTGCGAACACCCATGCACACATGCACACCCACACACACACCCACACGCACACACCCACACACACACGCACACACCCATGGACACATTCATCACGACCTCACCTCTCAGTGGAACTGTGTCCTCTCTTCAACGGGGATAAAACCACTTCCCAGCATGATGGCTTCTACGGTTGAGTGGGAGACTCAGTCCAGGGCCTGACTTGGGGGAGTTCAATGTTCCTTCCCTTCCCTCCATAGGGCCAGGAAAGAAAGCCAGGTGGCCAATTCCCAGGCCAGCGTCTTCTCTCTTCCCACACCTTGTGAAGCCCACCTGACCCAGTTCACCCATGCCGTGGGAAGCCCTGGGCTGGGGCCCTGTGTGGTGCAGATAAGTCCAAGCTGGCCCCTGCCCTCTGGAAGCATCAGATGGACACCAGGCCTTCACTCACTCACCGGCCTGCGCCTTTCCACTGGGATTTGGTCCCTGCTGCCCAGACTGACCATACCTGAGCCTGAGCACTCCTTGTCACATGCTAGCCCCCTGCTTCTGGGAATGACAGAGCCTGGGAAGTAAAGGCCTCCTGGAGAGGGCTGGGACACCCTGACTTTGGGTGGTACAAGATGCGACACCCAGGGGAGTCTGGGGTGAGCTATGGGCAGGATCCTTTTCTGATTCTGCGTGTGTGCATGTGTGTGTTCGTACACACGCATGCACATGTGTGCGTGTGTGCCTGTACATGCATGTGTGCACACGTGTATGCATGTGGGTGTGTGCGAGCGTGTTCATGCACACGTACGTGCATGTGAGTGTGACCAAGCCACAGAAGCGGCAGGCCCAGCCATGTGGCAGCAGGGTCCGCTGTCTACAGATATACGCAGCTCCAGAGGCCAAAGAGAGCTTCCTGGGACAGAAAATGCAAACAAAACTGGTAATGGGAGCGGGAAGATGCAGAGGCCAGACTCAGAGACAGAGGCGAAGCGTGATGGACTCAAGGGCAGAGCTGAGACCCAGGTACTCCCGACCCCTGCAGCAGTGAGTCAGCGTCACCTTTTCTCTGCTTCCTGGGACCTCCAGGGTGGTGAACTCGGCTCCTTCCCCTAAAGGCTCCTCCTCTCCTCCTGGCCTCTTTCTAGGTCTTCTCTAGCCCAGCCCTGGCCACCTGCCCTTTCTCTGGGCTCCCTCCCTCCAGGAACTGGCTCTGCCCTTCACCCCAGCCAGGACACCTCTGCTGCAGCCCCCAAATCTGCTTCTCCAGCCTGACTCCGGGAGGCACACTAGCTTTTCAGCTCTGTAAGTTTCAGGAAACCCCTGGAATGTTCTTTTCAGAATGCTGATTCAGGTGGAACTGAAACTATGTCAAAATGGGTTTTAAACTACTTCAGCAAACTTTACAAAAATGTACAGAAAATGTCCCTATTTCAGATCTTATGACTCAAAAAGCAGGTACCTCAGCCAAGGTTATACTATTTCCTATGAGTACACTGTCAACTGTGAGAAGAGTGTTCTACTAACCCTTAAGTCCAGCTTACTGATTGTTCTTATTCTAACTGCCATCTAATTTAACAATGCTTAAAATATTATAACTGTCATTAAAGTGATGCATCCACAGAATCTCTGATAATGTAGAACATGAATAAAGTAGAACAAGTCTGAAGAAATTGTATCCACGACGTCGCTGAAAAAACTAAAAAGAAAGAATACTCAACTTCCATATTTTCAGGAGGATTCCATTCCTAGGGAACTAAAAGATGTCTCAAAATCTCTGATTATATCTTCCCTTTTAGATACGATCGTTGGCCATTTGGTTTCAGCATTTAAAACATGTCTTAAATGTTTTAAGGTGCGATGGCCAGGTGCGATGGGTCAGGCCTGTAATCCTAGCACTTTGGGAGGCCGAGGCGGGCGGATCACCTGAGGTCAGGAGTTCAAAACCAGTCTGGCCAACATGTTGAAATCTCGTCTCTCCTAAAAATACAAAAATTAGCCAGGCGTGGTGGTGCGCCCCTGTAATCCCAGCTACTTGGGAGGCTGAGGCAGGAGAATCGCTTGAACCCGGGAAGTGGAGTTTGCAGTGAGCCGAGAGTGCGCCACTGCACTCCAGCCTGGCAACAGAGCAAGACTCTGTCTCAAACAAACAAAAAACAAACAACAACAGCAACAACAACAAAAACATGGTTTCCTTCATCAGTGAAAATACACCTTTCCTCGGGCCTGGTGATGCCCAGATCTACCTGAATCGAACTATTTCATTCACATCTCCTTCATTTCCCTTGCTCCTACCTGCACTTTCCTTGCCCAACGCCCTTATCTTACAAGGTCACAAGGACAGAAGGCAGGAACAGTGAAGCGCTGGTGCACGCCCTGCTATAAAGGCAGAACCTGCAGTCTTGTTGGCAGGCTGCCCGCAGCCCTGGCATGGCCACACCTGACTTTGCCATGGCACGGTGCCCGGGAGCTGGGGATGATCACACCCCATGGTGCAAATGAGGGCTAGGCTGGGGCCTGGGGTACAGCCAGGGACATGGTGGCCAGGCTCCATCTGTCACATAATCGTGGTCAAACACCAAAGAGACCAAAGCTGAGGAACACTAGAATAGAGCAAAGTGTCAATTTTATAATCCGAATGAGAAACACATGATTGATAGAACAAACACAGGGTTAAAGCATACCGGGGAAATGTTCACAGCTGATGAATCTGGGTAAAGGGTATACGGATCCTCTTTCTATGCAATTTTCTGTCAATTTGAAATAAAATTCAAAGTTTAAACAAAAAATTCAAGTATTCACCATCTCTAGGTGGTAATAGGGATAATTTCCTTTTGCAACTTTTCTCTGCTTTTCAAATTGCCTGTGATGAGGGAGTGTTGTTTTTATCATCAGAAAACATTATTAAGGGCTGGGCATGGTGGCTCATGCCTGTAATCCCAGCACTTTGGGAGGCCAAGGTGGGCGGATCACCTCAGGTCAGGAGTTCAAGCCCAGCCTGGCCAACAAGGCGAAACCCCATCACTACTAAAAATACAAAAAAATTAGCCAGGCGTGGTGGTGGGCGCCTGTAATCCCAGCTACTCCGAAGGCTAAGGCAGGGAGAATCGCTTGAACCCAGGAGGCGGAGGTTGCAGTGAGCTGAGATCACGCCACTGTACTCAAGCCTGGGCGAAAAGAGCGAGACTCTGTCTCAAAAAAAAAAACAGAAAAAAGAAAAAAAGAAAAGGAAAAGAAAAGAAATGCTCTTGGGTGGTGTGGGGCAGGGGATGGGGCTCCCAACAAGGGTGGAGTTTGCATCAAAGCTGCTGGGGGCCAAGCCAAGGTAAATGTCAATAATTAATTCCAGGGTCCCCAGATCCTGCCCCGTGCCTTTTGACTTAATGGCTACTTGGCTGCAAATGAAAAGAAAAGAGAGGGGAAGGGCTGAGACCGTCTATGACTCCCACAGCTGGTTTTCATTGGGCATCTGATTCCCAAATGTTCAGTTCCTAAGTCAGAAAGATGGGAGTGGAATGAGAAGGTGAAGAGGAAGAGAAAGGCATGGCAGGCAGAAAGCAGAGCCGAGCAGAGGAGAGAGGCGAGTAGAAGCCAGGTGTGGGAGAGGAGAGGCCAGAAACTGCAACCTGCTGTTGCTTCAGGGAGGTGGCCTTAGGGCCAAGAGGAGCAGAAACAGGGGTGAGCAGGCAGCAGAATCAGCACACAGAAGGCCTTTTAAAAAAGTGTGGCATGGGCCAGGCGCAATGGCTCACGCTGTAATCCCAGCACTATGGGAAGCCGAGGCGAGTGGATCACTTGAGGTCAGGAGTTCGAGACCAACCTGGCCAACATGGTGAAACCCTGTCTCTACTAATAATACAAAAATTAGCCAGACGTGGTGTCACGCGCCTGTAATCCCAGCTACTTGGGAGGCTGAGGCAGGAGAATCGCTTGAACCCGAAAGGCAGAGGTTGCGGTGAGCCGAGATTGCACCACTGCACTCCAGCCTGGGCAACAGAGTGAAACTCCGTCTCAAAAAAATAAAATAAAAATAAAAACAAAAGTAATGTATAGTAAGATACACACAACATCAAATTCACCATTAAGTACATTCACAGTGTTGTGCAACCATCACCACCGTCCATCTCCATAACTTTTTCATCATCCCAAATGGAAACTCTGTAGCCATTAAACACCAAATTTCCATTTCCTCCTACCTCGGCCCTTGGTAAAATATCACCAGTTTACAAAACACGCAGGATAGCGTCTACCTCAAGCCTGCAAGTATGAGTTTATAATCACTAATTCTTGTCTGTTTTGTTTTTTTCTTTTTTTTTAAATTTGGAAGGCACGTAGGATTGTAAAGGTTAGCTGCCCAAGTTTGTCCAGCCACCACTCAGAGAGCACAAATGGTAGCCCCGGCATTGCAACTTTGGGAGGCTTGAGATGGTAGACATTGTTTGTTATCTATATAGGGTTGACTGTTGTAGCCTGAAATGTTTGGCTCATTCTTTTAAAAAAACTAAATCTTCTTAGAGTCTTTCCTCTAATTGTGCTCAAGTGAGCTCCAGAATCAGATTAAATAACCACAGATTCAAAGTGTGACAACTGTATCCTGTTTCATTATACAAATAGAAGTCTTGGGAAGTTTGCAAGTTGCCCAGAATACAAGCACTAGGCAAATTCAGATAGTTTGCAAGATTAGAGTCCAATCCTGTGGTCATTGGTAGACAGGCAAATTTAATTGAAGAGGTGTCACTGAATTCAAAAACTGAAAATACTTCAAAAAATAACATTGAATCAAATAGGTTTCAAAATTATTCCATGCAAAGGGAGATTATGGATAAAGGGAGTTGGCAACTGAGCATGCTAAATCAAATTCAGCTTTCATGATAAAATGGATTTACTATTTGCATTTGTTTAACAATGCCTCCCTAAAAGTCACCAGCTTCAAGAGTTATACATTGTATTGAAACGAATCTTAACTTATTAGGGGAAATAGTCATAGCAGGTAGCCAGTAGCCAGTGACAAAATACCAGCTGTGAAAATTGAGGCAAATTGAGAAACTAGAAGCTTTTCCACTAAGATCAGGAACAAAGCAAGGATGCCCCCTCTCTCACACTGCTTTTCAACATCTTACTGGAAGTCCTAACTAATGCAATAAGACAGGAAAAGAAATAAAAGGTATACAGATCAGGAGCAAGGAAATAAAGCTGTCTTTGTCTGCAGATAACATGACCATTGTCTTCGTCCATTGGGGCTGCTATAACAAAATATCTTAAACTAAGTGATTTATAAACAATAGAAATGTATTGCTCACAGTTCTAGAGACTGGGAAGTCCAAGATCAAGGTGCCAGCAGATTTGGTATCTGGTGAGGGCCCATTCCTCATAGATGGTGGAAGGGGCAAGCATGCTCCCTCTGGCCTCTTTTATAAGAGCACTAATCCCATTTATGAGAGTGGAGCCTAATCACCTTCCAAAAGCCCCACCTCTTAATACTATTGCATTGGCTATCAGTTTTTAACACACACACACACACACACACACACATATATATATATATATATATATTTTTTTTTTTTTTTTTGAGATGGAGTCTCGCACTGTCGCCCAGCCTGGAGTGCAGTGGTGCAATCTTGGCTCACTGCAAGCTCTGCCTCCCAGGTTCATGCCATTCTCCTGCATCAGCCTCCCAAGTAGCTGGGACTACAGGCACCCGCCACCACACCCGGCTACTTTTTTTGTATTTTTAGTAGAAACGAGGTTTCACCATGTTAGCCAGGATGGTCTCGATCTCCTGACCTTGTGATCCGCCCGCCTCGGCCTCCCAAAGTGCTGGGATTACAGGCATGAGCCGCCGCACCTGGCCTAACATACAAATTTTGAGAGGATCCAAACATTCATACCACAAAGCATTTGTCTACATAGAAAATCTTAAAGAATTGTCAAAAAGAAACTTCTGGAACTAATAAGCAATTATATAAAGGTTGCCAGATACAAGGTTAATATACAAAAGTCAATAGCTTTCCTTTATACCAGCAATGAGCAGGTGAATTTGAAATTAAGAACACAATACCATTTACATTAGCACTCAAAAAAAAGAAATACTTTGATATAAATATAGCAAAATATGTACAAGATAGATATAATGAAAACCATAAAACTGATGAAAGAAATAAAAAACTAAATAAATGAAAAGATATGGCTGGTCACGGTGGCTCATGCCTGTAATCCCAACACGCTGGGAGGCCGAGGTGGGTGGATCACAAGGTCAGGAGTTTGAGACCAGCCAGACCAACATGGTAAAACCCCGTCTCCACTAAAAATATAAAAATTAACCAGGTGTGGTGGCGTGTGCCTGTAATCCCAGCTACTCAGGAGGCTGAGGCAGGAGAATCACCTGAACCCAAGAGGTGGAGGTTGCAGTGAGCCGAGATGGTACCATTGCACTCCAGCCTGGGCAATAGAGTGAGACTGTCTCAAAAAAAAAAAAAAGAAAAGAAAAGATATTCCATGTTTATGGATAGGAAAGCTTGATATTGCCAAGATGTCTATTCTTTCCAATTTCATCTATGGATTCCATGCAATCTAAATCAAAATGTCAGCAAGTTATTTTGTGGATATCAAGAAACATTCTGAACTTTATATGGAGAGGCCAAAGACCCAGAATAGCAACATAACACTGAAGGAGAAGAACAAAGTTGGAGGCCTGAAGTTAGCTGACTTAAAACGTATTTAAAAGCTATAGTAATCAAGACCATGTGGTATTGGTGAAATAGACAAATAGATAATGGAACAGAATAGAGAGCCCTGAAATAGACCCACATAAACAGTCAACTGATCTTTGACAAAAAAGCAAAGGGAATACAATGTTATGGTTTGCTTGGTCTCCTGCCAAGTCTCATGTTGAAAGCCAAGTCTCGTGTTGAAGTTTGATCCCTGATGTTGGAGTTGGGGCCTAGTGCGAGGTGTTTGGGTCATGGGAGTAGATCCCTCCTCAAAAACCTGCTGCTGTTCTTGAGGTAGTGAATGAGTTCTTGTTCTATTCATTCCTCGAGAGCTGATTGTTTAAAAAAGCTTGACACCTTCCTCCTCTCTCTCTCTTCCTTCCCCTCTTGCCATGTGATACCTGCTCCCCTTTGCCTTCTACCCTGAGTGGAAGCAGCCTGAGGCCCTCCCCAGATGCAGATGCTGGCACCATGCTTACTGTATAGCCTGCAGACTGCAGAACCATGAGCCAAATAAACTTCTTTTCTTTATAAATTACCCTGCCTCGAGAATTCTTTTATAGCAATACAAATAGACTAAGACACAAAGATCCTCTTTTTTTTTTTTTTTTGAGACAGGGTCTCACTCTGTCGCCCAGGCTGGAGTGCAGTGGCACGATCTCGGCTCACTGCAAACTCCACCTCCCAGGTTCAAGCAATTCTCCCGCCTTAACCTCTCCAGTAGCTGGAATTACAGGCACCCACCACCGCGCCTGGATAATTTTTGTATTTTTAGTAGAGACAGGGTTTCACCATGTTGGCCAGGCTGGTCTTGAACTCCTGACCTCGGGTGATCTGCCCACCTCGGCCTCCCAAAGTGCTGGGATTACAGGTGTAAGCCACCATACCTGGCCCAATAAATGGTGATGGAACAACTGGACATCCATATGGAAAAGAAAAAGTGATTCTAGATACAGACCTTACACCATTTATAAAAACTAACTCAAAAAGGATCATAGATCTAATTGTAAAATGCAAAAGTATAAAACTCCTCAAAGATAACATAGGAAGAAACCTAAATGAGTTTGGTTATGACAATGACTTTGTAAATACAATAACCAAAGGCCTGACCCACGAAAGGAATAATTGATGAGCTGGACTTGATTAAAATTAAAAACTGCTGCTCTGCATGTGTGGGGCAGGGAACATATGGGAAATCTCTGCATCTTCAAATTTTTCTGTGAACCTAAAACTGCTTTTGAAAAAAAGTCTTTAATTAAAAAAAAAACTTTTAAAGAAAAAAATGAGACAAATGAGTTGACAAATTCCTGAGAAAGCAAAGTAAATCGTTTGTCAAAATAATTATTGGACAATACAAAACTAGCCCAAATCTAAAATTTATAAATTAAAATTATAATTATATAAAACAAGTTTTGGAATGGATGTAAAATTTCTTTGGGTCCAAGAATGATCTTTTTCACCAATTCCCACTATTCAGATGTTGTTGAACACATCAGCACTGTGAAAGAAAAAACAAGTTATGGGGGAAAATATCTCAGAGTAAGTGGATCTGATTTTTTTTTTTTTTTTTTTTTGAGACGGAGTCTCACTCTGTTGCCAGGTCTCCAACTCCCCGGTTCAAGCAATTCTCCTGCCTCAGCCTCCTGAGTAGTTGGGATTACAGGCATGTGCCACCATGCCCAGCTAATTTTTGTATTTTTAGTAGAGACGGGATTTCACCATGTTGGCTAGGATGGTCTCGATCTTCTGACCTCATGATCTGCCTGCCTGAGCCTCCCAAAGTGCTGGGATTACAGGCATAAGCCACCACGCCTGGCCAGATCTGACTTTTAAGGCTACAAATAAACCACAGACTGATGTCAAATAGACAGAAACATTTGAATGCTGTGAAAAGACAAATGACACCCACAAAATACAAGGAAGAGAGGCACAGTTAAGATGTATAAAAAAGAAGGTGGTGGCTGGGTGCGGTGGCTCATGCCTGTAATCCCAGCACTTTGGAAGGCCAAGGTGGATGGATCACCTGAGGTCAAGAGTTCAAGACCAGCCTGGCCAACATGCCGAAACCCCGTCTCTACAAAAATACAAAAATTAGCCAGGCATGATGGCAGGTGCCTGTAATCCAAGCTACTTGGGAGGCTGAGGCAGGAGAACTGCTTGTACCCGGGAGACGGAGGTTGCAGTGAGCCGAGATCATGCCATTGCTCTCCAGACTCAGCGACAGAGCAAGACTCTGTCTCAAAAAAAAAAAAAAAAAAAAAAAAAAAAGGTGGCTTTTGGCTTATTAAAATATTGTACTTTTTTTTACTTTTTTTTTTGAGATGGAGTTTAGCTCTTGTTGCCCAGGCTGGAGTGCAGTGGCACGATCTCAGCTCACTGCAACCTCTCCCTCCTGGGTTCAAGCAATTCTCCTGCCTCAGCCTCCCAAGTAGCTGGAATTACAGGTGCCACGACCACACCTGGCTAATCGTTTGTATTTTCAGTAGCGACAGGGTTTCCTCATGTTGGCCAGGCTGGTCTCGAACTCCTGACCTCAGGTGATCCACCCATCTCGGCCTCCCAATGGGCTGGGATTACAGGCATGAGCCACTTCAGCCAGCCTTGTATACTTTTTTATTTTATTTTATTTTGAGACAGAATCTCACTCTGTCACACAGGCTGGAGTGCAGTGGTATGATCTCGGCTCACTGCAACCTCTGCCTCCCAGGTTCAAGCAATTCTTCTACCTCAGCCCCTTGAGTAGCTGGAATTACAGGCGCGGGCCACTACACCTGGCTAATTTTTGTGTTTTTAGTAGAGACAGGGTTTCACCATGTTGGTCAAACAGGTCTCGAACTCCTGACCTCGTGATCTGCCCGCCTCGGCCTCCCAAAGTGCTGGGATTACAGGTGTGAGCCACTGCGCCTGGCCTCTTATTCACTTTTTTAAAAGAGGATTTCAAAGCATCTGGAAAACATGCCTGCTGTTGGAAACCCTGCACGGCAAATTCAGTTTGCAAGCGTCATTCAGATGTTGGTTGACGACAATACACCCGCCTCTCGGGCTGAGCGGTTGCGCCGTGTTGGGTCCTTTTTCTGTCACTCGGTGACACTCCAAGTTCTGTGCAGTCCTTGGTACAAACAAGGCATGGTTTGGAGGGAAGGGACGATGGTGTTTGCATTGCTTGGGGAACAACCCAGCTAGCATTTTCCACATACTCTGCATATACTATCCAGTTTATGACACTGGAGAATCTTGCGTCTTCTGCTGGGAATCATTGGCTCTTCCTCCCCCATATTCACAGAATCTTGCCAGTCTTCGAACAGGTGGGGGTCAGTGACTGTGAGAACAGGCACCCCAGTCCCGGCTTTGAGTCTCCGTTCTGCTCCAATCTGCCCAGGCGTCTCCTTTCACTACCAGCTGCTAAGTAATCTCCTCTCCGACAGCTCGGCCAGGGCGACTCACAGCGCCCCCTGCCCTGCAGCCAGTGATCTATCCCGCTGCTCATTCCCCGGGGATCTGCCACCTCCAGCGCCGGTGCTGCCATCTGCTCTGGCCGCAGCCCGCCAGGGGACGCAGGGCCCAGGACGGGCAATGGGGGGGTGCCGCCCTCCCCAGCCCCCTCTGCGGCAACCCCCCCCCCCGCCCCCGGCAGCCTGAATCCCACCCACCCCGGGCCGCGACACTCCCACCACCGCCCGGGTGGCACCAGGCTCGCGCCACGAGCCGGGGTTGTGAGGACTCAGCGACTCTAGCAGCGCCGCGCACTGGGAATCTTTGAACAGTGCGTTGATCTTTGTGTTTTAATTACCACTGTCGCCCTTAGACCCAACACTCTAGTTTCTATTTATTTATTTATTTTTGAGACAGAGTCTCACTCTGTCGCCCACAGTGGAGTGCAGTGGTGTGATCACGGCTCACTGCAACGTCTGCCTCCTGGGTTCAAGCGATTCTCCTGACTCAGCCTCCTGAGTAGCTGGGATTACAGGCACCTGCCACCACGCCCGGCTCATTTTTGTATTTTTAGTAGAGACAGAGTTTCGCCATGTTGGCCAGACTGATCTTGAACTCCTGACCTCGGGTGATCCGCCCGTCTCAGCCTCCCAAAGTGCTGGGATTACAGGTGTGAGCCACCACGCCCGGCCTCGTTTTTAAAAATGAGTGTTTTTAAACACTCCTATTGGGAGGCTGGGCGCAGTGGCTCACACCTGTAATCCCAGCGCTTTGGAAGGCCGAGGCAGGTAGATCGCCTGAGGTCAGGAGTTCGAGACCAGCCTGGCCAACATGGCGAAACGCCGTCTCTACTAAAAATACAAAAATTAGCCAGGTGTGGTGGTACACATCTGTAATCCCAGCTACTTGGGAGGCTGAGGCAGGAGAATCACTTGAATCTGGGAGGCAGAGGTTGCAGTGAGCTGAGTTCACACCACTGCACTCCAGCCTGGGTGACCAGAGCGAAAACCTGTTTCAAAAAAAAAAAAAAAGAATTATTATATTGGGAGTATTTTGTTGTTTTTGTTGTTGTTAATTGAAAATCCATACCAATACTGAGAAAATCTCTCATTTTTTGTGTGTTACTGGCAAAGAGAAAATGGAAGAATGGCAACTAGAAGAACAAAACTTGGACACAGATGAGTGTCTATAAACGAGGGCCCTGGGCTTGGGGCTGAGGCTGGGTGCCAGTCAGTGTCAGCTCTCAGGAAGGGAACTGGGCAAAGGGATTTCTGTCCTTTTTGGATTTGTGTACCCACTTGTTTTGGACAGAAGAGGCTGGGTTATGCTACAGGAACAAACCTCCATGATCTCAGTGGCCTAAGTTCATGAAGCCTTTTTCTTGCTTAAGTTAAATATCCATGAAGTGGAGAGGGGCAGTCTATACCCAGTCCTCACTAAGGGACACAGGCTGACACAGACCCCTGTCTGGAACATTGACCACAGGGTCAAGGCAGTGATGACGCACGTTGTTCCCTGGCCGTTAAAGCTTGTACCTGGCAGGGATGTGTCACTTTCACTCCCATTTCATTGGCCAAAGCAAATCACGTGTTCACACCTAACCTCAATGATGCGGGAAAGCCTGACTCCACCATGGGCCCAAAAAGGGAGAAAGGGATGTTTCAGTGTAGCGACAGGATGATGACCAGCACATCATCCTGTCACTGCACTTGGTCAACTTCTTTGTGAAGGTCTGAACCAATAAGTAAGCCAAGGAAAAGGGAAGAGATGTGATCATTGGAAAGAAGCCACATTTGTCATCATTTCTAGGTTATTTTTCTATCCCCTGTCCACTTAAGAGGGCCATGCCTGGCAGAAGTTTGCATCAGTGCCCAGCCCACAGAGGCATGAGTAGGCCTGGGCACGGAGTACACAGTTACCCAGTATGCTCCTTACCTACCTGGCACCTCTTGGCTGACAGAAAAGCAAAAAGCTTCAATAGGTGAGAACCAGGGGAAAGAGACTTAAAACAAAGTATTAATAAATCATATTCACATAGGGCTTCTCGCTTGCAAGTTATAGTTTATGTCTGTTATTTTTTAATTTTCATGGTTATTGTAGTAGATATGTCACACTGTATCTCCAATTCACCAAAATGGATCAATGACTAAAAAGAGGTTCTATAAAATGCAAAGTAATGATGAAAATGGCAGCATAAATCCTCAGAAGGGCACTGTAAACATAATGAGTAAATGGTTCTGCAATATAACTATGGAAATACAAAACTATATATTCAAGGACAAACAAGTTCTTGAGTGGTGATTTTACACATGCAACCATAAATGAAAATTGTGAGTCTAAGTTCAGTGAGGAATACTTGAACATTTCATTTATTGGACAAGCAATCCATTTGCCCCTAGTCCTCGATATATTACTGTTAAAATGAAAATGCTGATATATAGTAGTCTGGAGCCATAAAAAGTGTTTCTCATTATCTTTAGAAAAAGCAACCAATTCCATTTTTCCAGAATAAGCACAAAATAACTTTCTAATGTAAAATTGATTATTCTTCTTATTAAAGGTGCGGAGGAGACTAAAGCTACAGAAACATCATTCTAAATTGCTGTCCTCTTAGCAAATGCACCTAGATATCAGTCGTAAAATTGCCAAGAAGACCGTAAATCAGCTCACAGATCATAATGAAGACTGTGCTTGGAGAGAGATCCAAAGGATATTGACAAAGCTCCTCTATCAGATAACAGAGCACACAAAGCAGAAATGCAATTACTAGTGCACACACATGTTAGCCAATACTTTGCTTTTGAGCAAACCAAACTCCTCATGTGCAAGGCATAAAACAGCCCTTGGTGCATGTGGGGTTCAAATATGAGGGAAAAATGCTGCCTGGCTTGTCGCTTTGTTTTTCGTGCCAAAGTATGATAAGAGGCTTTTCATTTACAGATTATTTACTTTGTGAGTCATGTGCTAGAAATGGCACTTCAGGACCCGTGCCAGAGTTGAAGCCGCTGTGGCTGAGCAGCGAAGAGCTTTGCTCTGTGAATAAAAGAGGTTGTTCCTCATGCTGCTTTATTCACAGAGAAGAGTTAATGGTCAACAAAATGCTTCTGGACCCTGATTCAGGGTTAAAGGAAGTAATAAAAAGAATACAAACTTCGTCTAATTCTGGATGAGCTCAATATTGGCACAGCTTTTCAGCCTGCTGTGAGGAAACACAGGTAGTATGCAGGTCAGTACACTTCCAGTCGGGGATGACAGAAATTCAATTTCAAGTGGATTAAACAATAAATGGAACCAATTAAAGCATTTGTGATGTCAGGGCTCTGGCTCTGGCTCGCTGCAGGTGCCTTGGCTCTGTTCTCTTCCTTGCGTTGCCTTCTTTTCAGACCAGCGTCTCCTGTGGTAGAAAAATTGTTACAGCAGCGCCAAGCCCACAGTACGCCCCACCTATCTGGACCAACAGAGAGTCTCTGTCTCCCACAATTCCCAGGAAGGTCCTGAGGTTAGCATGGATTAGACTGGCTCAGGGCACGTGTCCACTCCTGAGCCAATCACGGTGTGGCTGGGGGTGGAACCCACTTACTGCTCCACCCCTGCCCTGATGGCAGCAAACAGCAAAGCAGCAGCAAAAAGGAGAGAAGGGAGTGAGGGAAGAAAGGAGGAGGGAGCAGAGGAAGGGAAGGAGAGAAAGGAGGGAGGGAAGAAAGGAGGAGGGAGCAGAGGAAGGGAAGGAGAGAAGGGAGGGAGGGAAGAAAGGAGGAGGGAGGAGAGGAAGGGAAGGAGAGAAGGGAGGGAGGGAAGAAAGGAGGAGGGAGGAGAGGAAGGAGGAAGGGAGGGAGAGAGAGGAAGAAAGAAATGAAGATCTCATGGATATGAGAACATAATTAATGTTTCAAACACTCTCTTTAAATTTAAAATCATTGATGAAACTCTACTTTTTTTTGAATTACAATTGATGATCTATGAATGTGCCAAATGCCCATTCAGTGGTCTGTGGTGTGAAACGTTGAGAAAGGATGCCTCGAGATGCTTCTAACACCTAAAAATACCCCTTGCAGGCCAGCTGTGGTGGCTCATGCCTGTAATCCCAGCACTTTGGGAGGCCGAGACAGGCGGATCACTTGAGGTCAGGAATTTGAGACCAGCCTGGCCGACATGGTGAAACCCCGTCTCTACTAAAATACAAAAATTAGCCTTGCATGGTGGTGTGCCCCTGTAGTCCCAGCTACTTGGGAGGCTGAGGCATGAGAATCACTTGAACCTGGGAGGCGGAGGTTGCAGTGAGCCGAGATCACGCCATTGCACTCCAGCCTGGGCAACAAGAGTGAAACTCTGACTCAAAGGGTCATGGACCCTTTGCAGATCCATGTTCTCCTAAGTAGCAAATACTTAGGCAATTATTACAAATGAATTCCCCTAATAAAACTCTCCTCCCACCTCCTCCTCACAGGACATGGAGTCAGTGCATGGCAGGGAGAGAGCTGGGAGCGTCAGGCCAGGCTTTCCACTGCGGTGTCTTTCTGGGTGTCAGCTGCACCACTGTCCTGAACTCTGTGCTGACCGGGCACTAGTCTGGTGTTTGAGACCACAGTGGGGACAGCACCAGCCCCACGTCGTTGGCGCTGTCTACAGGCTGTCCCCACCAAGGCAGCCCCTCTCTCTGCCCGGTCCTCTGTGGCTCTGCTTCTCCTTCAGCTCCTTCATCCTACCCCCTTGTCAGTCTGGTTTCTCTGTTTGTACAAGGATTTGACACCTGTCCCAAAAGGGCACCCTCAGCTCTGGGTCTCCTCACCTTCCAGGTCTGACAGCCAAGGCTAACCTATGATAACCACTGGTTCTCGATTCTAAATCTCCAGAAGAGAGAATCTGATTTGTGCAGCCTGCATCAGGCATCCACTCCTGGACCAACCAGGAAGCCTACGGGGCCCACCAGTGTGGGTAATATGAGAAACATGCTCACCTGTCCAAACCCAAAGGATGAACTTAGAGACATAGAGAATTGCAGAGGTGAGACTTGTGTTGTTGTTGTTGTTTTGTTTTTGTTTTGTTTTGTGACAGAGTTTCACTCTTGTCACTCAGGCTGGAGTGCAATGGTTCCATCTCGGCTCACCGCAACCTCCGCCTCCTGGGTTCAAGTGATTCTCCTGCCTTAGCCTCCCGAGTAGCTGGGATTACAGGCATGCACCACCATGCCCAGCTAATTTTGTAGGTTTTTTCTTTGTTTTTGTTTTTTTTTAGTAGAGATGGGGGTTTCTCCATGTTAGTCAGGCTGGTCTTGAACTCCCGACTTCAGGGGATCTGCCTGCCTTGGCCTCCCAAAGTCTGGGATTACAGGCATGAGCCACTGCGCCCAGCCAGAAGTGAGACTTTTAATGACAGTCTTGCAAGATCTGGTGTCTGGTAGGCAGGCACACCCAGTACAGTTACAACAAGCAATGTATCCCCTAGTAGGCAAGTCCCTCCCCCGGTTCCTCATAGGCTGAGTACCATGGGGTCACCATCTTCCCAGACATCACCTATTGGTCGTTGGGTTGGGGCTTTTAGGTGTTTACTTTAGGGTTGTCTCGCTGCAGTTTGTTGTGGCCCATAATGCACTGCAATCATAGTCAGCTAAGGTGCTCTTCAAGTATTTGACTTATGACCCAGGTGGCCAGGCAAGCTGATAAGAATAGATAAAGTGAGCTATTTTTCAGGCTAGTAAACTTTCATTCTAGACTAAACGCTTTGCTTTGGGTGGGGGTAACTAAGGGGGCCCTGACCAGCAGGGGTCTAGTATATCCTGTCCATCCGCAGGTTGTGGGCCCAAGCCTATTTGAGGCACTTTGCCTTGGAAATGGGCCACCGTAGACATTATTTCCTACAGTAGGAGAGAAGCTTGAAGCAAAGGGGACATTGACTCCGTAAGTACTTTAAAGCATGTCTACAAATCCTTTGAAAGACATCCTGACATCCTCCAAACGTACCTTGTGAAGACGGCTCATAAGGGCAACGCAGCCTAGATGGAGCAACAGGTGGACAGTCTCAAGCCGACCGTGCAGAATTAGGAAAAGCCCCAGCAGACCAGAAAAATCTCCATTCCCTGGTGACATGGGGAGAAAGCTGGCCTGACATGGCTCCAGAGCTGGCAGCACCTCTGGGTCCTGATAGAAGTCTGGGTGGCTGCCAAGCTGAGTCATCCAGGAGCTAAGGGAAACGACCTACCTGTAGCTAAGACCAAGCCTCACACCCCATCACCTGGGCTGGATCTTGTTCTCCTGCCAGATCTGTCGTATCTTTATTGGCTCTCCCAGTGACGGCTTCTGTGGTTGGAAATCATTCATTAGTTTTGCTGCCTGAAACTGAACCATAAATGAGGCACTGAGACAGGGGAAAAGCCTGGTCCATGTCGAGATCTGAGCTCAACCCTAGACCTAAGCTCCTGACTCCATACCCTGATTAGCAACAGCTGCCATCACAAAACCAATTTTTTTTTTTTGAATTTCGCTCTTTTTGCCCAGGCTGGAGTGCAATGGTGCAATCTCAGCTCACTGCAACCTCTGCCTCCTGGGTTCAAGCGATTCTCTTGCCTCAGCCTCCTGAGTAGCTGGGATTACAAGCACATGACACCATGCCCACCTAATTTTGTATTTTTAGTAGAGCCAGGGTTTCACCATGTTGGCCAGACTGGTCTCGAACTCTTGACCTCAGGTGATCCGCCCGCCTCGGCCTCCCAAGGTAGTGGGATTACAGGCATGAGCCACCATGCCCAGCAGACAAAACTAACTTTCTAAGCTTTTAACATGACCCTCAGACATTAACCAAGATGCTTGTCTAGACCACAAGCCCATTTTTCTTTTGTAGAATTTGCATTTCTCTCCTTGCATAAGAAGGAAGTATCCAGTGATGGTGAGAAAAACATGGGATCAGCAAGACCTGGGTTCGAGCCCTAGATTCCCCACTTAGGAGCCACAGAGTCTCACTCAGGAGGCTCACTTCTATGAGGCTGAATCTTGATTGGGAAATTTGTGATAAATCTCCTATGAGAATTAAGTGAAAGACCCTAATATCAAATGCCTGACACATACTTGGACCTCAAATTTGAGCCCTTTTGCTCTCCTTAGAGGAGGGATGAAAGCATAACTTATCCTGAGTGCAGATGCACCTCATTTAATTGGGATTCACTTTACTGAGTCACAGATGCTGTGTTTTTTTTTACACATGGAAGGTTTTTGGCAACCCTGCATCGAGCAAGTGTATTGGCATGATTTTCCCAACAGTAGGTACTCACTTTCAGGTCTCTGTGTCACATCGGTAAATTCCCACAATATTTCAGACTTTTTCATTATTATTATATCTGTTACAGGGATCTGTGATCAGTGTCTTTGATGTTACCACTGTAATTGTTTTCAGGCATCACAAACCACACCCACATAAGACAGCAAACTTAGTTGATAAATGTTGTGTGTGTTCTGACTGCTCCACCAACAGCTGTTCCCCATCTCTCTCCCTCTGCCCTGGCCTCCCTATTCTCTGAGATGTAACAATATTGAATTTAGGCCAATTAATAACCCTACAATGGCCTCTCAGTGTTCAAGTGAAAGGAACTGTCACATATCTCTTGCTTTCAATCAAAAGCTAGAAATGATTAGGCTTAATGAGGAAGGAATGTCAAGAAACAAGATAGGCTGAAAGCTAGGCCTCTTCCACTATGCAGTTAGCCAAGTTGTGAATGCAAAGGAAAAGCCTTTGAAGGAAATTAAAAGTGCCACTCCAATGAGTACATGAATGATAAGAAAGTGAAACAGGCTTACTGCTGATATGGAGAAAGTTTGAGGGGTCTGGATAGAAGATCAAACCAGCCATGACATTCTCCTAAGCGAAAGCCTAATCCAGAGCAAGGCCCTAGCTCTCTTCAATTCTATGAAGGCTGAGAGAGGTGAGGAAGTTGCGGAAGAAAAGTCTGAAGCTAGCAGAGGTTGGTTCGTGAGATTTAAGGAAAGAAACTGTCTCCATAACATAAAAGTGCAAGGTGAAGCAGCAAGTGCTGATGGAGCAGCTGCAAGTTGTCCAGAAGATCTGGCTAAGATCATTGATTAAGGTGGCCATAGTGAACAACAGGTTTTCCATGTAGATGAAATAACCTTCTATTGAAAGAAGATGCCATCTAGAACTTTCATAGCTAGAGAGGGGAAGGCAATGCCTGGCTTTGAAGCTTCAAAGGACAGGCTGACTATCTTGCTAGGGGCTAGTGCAGCTGGTGACTTTAAGTTGAAGTCAATGCTCATTTACCATTCTGAAAATCCTAGGGTCCTTAAGAATGATGCTAAATCTACTCTGCCAGTGCTCTAGCTTAGATGACTGCACATCTGTTTACAGCGTGGTTTGCTGGATATTTTAAGCCCACTGTTGATATATACTGCTCGGAAAAAAATATTCTTTTCAAATATTCTTTTCAAAATATTACTGCTCATTGACAATGCACCTGGTCACCCAAGAGCTCTGCTGGAGATGCACAAGGAGATGAATGTTGCTTTCCTGCCTGCTAACACAATGTCCATTCTGCAGCCCATGGACCAAGGAGTCCTTTCAGCTTTCAAGTCTGGATCTGGGCAAAGTAAATTGAAACCTACTGAAAAGCATTTATCATTCTAGGTGCCATTATGAACATATCAATCTACCAGGAGTTTGAAAGGAGTTGAGTCCAACCTTTGTGGATGACTTTGAGGAGTTGAAGACTTCAGTAAAAGAAAGAACTGCAGATGTGGTGGAAATAGCTAGAGAACTAGAAGTAGAAGTGAAGCCTATAAATGTGACTGCATTGCTGCAATCTCATGATCAAACTTGAGTGAATGATGAGCTGCTTCTTATAGATGAGCAAAGAAAGTGGTTTCTTGAAATGGAATGTACTCCTGGTGAAGATGCTGTGAACATGTTGAAATAACAACAAAGCATTTTAAATATTATAGAAATTTAGTTGATAAAGCAGGTTTGAGAGAATTGACACCAATTTTGAAAGGAGTGCTACTGTGGGTAAAATGCTATAAAACAGCATCACATGCTACAGAGAATCTTTCATGAAAGGAAGAGTCAATCAATGTGGCAAACTTCATCGTTGTCTTATTTATTTATTTATTTATTGAGACAGAGTTTCACTCTTGTCGCCCAGGCTGGAGTGCAGTGGCGTTGGCTCACTGGTGCAGTTGGCTCACTGCAGTCTCCACCTCCAAGATTCAAATGATTCTCCTGCCGCAGCCTCCCAAGTAGCTGGGATTACAGGTGCTTGCCACCACGCTGAGCTAATTTTTGTATTTTTGGTAGAGATGAGGTTTCACCATGTTGACCAGCCCAGTCTCAAACTCCTGACCTCAGGTGATCCACTCACCTTGGCCTCCAAAAGGGCTGGGATTACAGCCATGAGCCACCACACCCAGCCCATTGTTGTCTTATTTTAAGAAATTGCCACCACCACCCCAGCCTTCAGCAACCACCACCCTGATCTGTTGGCAGCCATCAACATCAAAGCAAGACCCTCCACCAGCAATAAGATTACAACTCACTGAAGGTTCAGATGATCATTAGCCTTTTTAGCAATAAAATATTTTTAAGGTATGTACTTTTTTAGAATAATGCGATTGCACACTTAATAGGCTACAGTATAGAGTAAACATAACTTTTATATGTACTCGGAAACAATAAAATTTGTGTGCCTTGCTTTATTGCAATATTCACTTTATCGTGATGGCCTGGAACCAAACCCACCGTATCTCTGAGGTATTCCTGTACTTAGTCTCTTACACCCAACATCTTATCAGTTCAACCAACACTTATTGAATGCCTGCCTTGTACACTGACAAGGGATAAGGGAGTCCAATATGGACCCTGCACTCCTGGAATTCACAGTCCTAGGTCTCCATCCCCTTCTATGAACTTGCCAGCAGAGGGATGTGGTATAGTGGTGTCATGCGCTTCCCAGCTTCTCAGAGGTCTTGGTAATTGTAAAACTTTGTCAAAGATGACCAAAAGAAAAAGTCCCATTTTCTTCTCCCTGCAAATGTCTCAGCAGCATTATTCTCCAAAGGATTCCAGCCATGTTCCCCTCTCCTCTCACGTCCTTGCTAACTTGATTCCCAATTCTTGGGAGAGGCTGGACTGAAGTCACCACTGACTCTATGGAAAGTGGAAGGAGAATGCAATAGAGACCAGCAGCTGGGCCGGGTGCGGTGTCTCAACCTGTAATCCCAGCACTTTGGCAGGTGGATCACCTGAAGTCAGGAGTTCGAGACCAGCCTGGCCAACATGGTGAAACCTCATCTCTCCTAAAAATACAAAAATTAGCTGGGCATGGTGGTGGGCGCCTGTAATCCCAGCTACTTGGGAGGCTGAGGCAGGAGAATCGTTTGAACCCGGAGGCGGAGGTTGCAGTGAGTCAAGATCACACCACTGCACTCCAGCCTGGGCAACAGAGCAAGGCTCCATCTCAAAAAAAAACAAAAACAAAAAAAGAGAGACCAGCAGCTGTAGTTCAGGACCATGAACAGCGCTGATGGGTGCCTCCTGTGCCAAACAGGTGAGTCCTATCAGCACAAGGTCTTCTCTCCCTATGCAAGAGCCAGTCTGAGGGCAGAACCCCCCTGCCTCTCATAGGTTGTGCTCTTGCTGCTGGAGTAACTGGATTTTCACCAGTGCTCATGTTGTGAACTGTTACAACCCTCCCCTCCAGGCTGGAAGATGGGGCTGAGAACCAAAAATACCCAGGAACGCTTCCATTTGGACCCATCAGTGGAGAAAGGGGAGCTCCCACTGCTGGCTTCCGGGGAAAGCAGATGTTAAGAGACCAGGATCTATAGATTTGTCTAAGAGCAATTCCTAAGCCAAGTTACACGGTGCTTTTCTGCTTTAAGCCTCGAAAGCCAGTCAATGAGATTCAGGCACAAGAGTTCACAGAGAATGGGTGCCCTAGCAAGGGATGCCCAGAGCCATGCTCATCCTTCTCTGCCGGCTAACCTGTGGTGCCTGGAAGTGCTGACCCTCTCTCCTTGAGACTCTGTTTTTATAGCAATGCATGTGGCAATTCTGTTCTTCTTATAAGAACTCCTCTATTGACTCTTCTTATCCCTCCTAACCCCTTACTCAAGGACATGAACAACACAAAGTCTGGGCCCCTCTGTGTGCCTTCTCTCTACGGTCCTCTTTTCTTTCTGTCTCAAGCCTCAGGCCTCACCTCCCTGTCTTTGCCTCCAAAATCTGCTTTACCATACCAGATTTCTGGTATGATAAATGATCTCTCAAGAGAGAATCGTCCAGGGTGAAAGAAGAACTTGAAAGGATTTGACTTCTATCAACAGGATGCAGTTTATGCTTTGGATCAGAAATTAGTATGTGGTGCTTTCTCTCCTATCACCAGAATATGGAATTCCAGATAGACATGGGAGTGGCTCCTCTCACTGCACACCTAATAACCTGTGTGCAGAATCTTTCTTCCCATCTCCACAGCTCTGAGCTCTGCAGGTTTGGAGGTCATGGTCATGGCTCCCAAGAGAGGAATCCTGCCACCAGAGGACACAACTGCAGCTCCATTGAATTGGATGTTGGGACTGCTGCTGGCCATTGGGAATCTTCATGCCACTGAACCGAGAGAAGAAAGGGGTTACTCTACTGCCTGGGGCGACTGATCCCTATTACAAGGAGAAATTGGGTTGCTGCCACACAGTGGAGGTAGGGAGGACCACATCTGAACCCCCAAGGATGCTCTAGGATGCCCCTTAGGACTTCCATGTCCAACCATAAAAATAAGTGAAAAAACATGACAGTCAAAAAAGGCAGGACCACTAAGGATCCAGACACCTCAGGATGAAGATTTAGGTCACTCCATCAGGCAAAGAGGCCTAGCCAGTTGAGAGCAAAAGATATGTACAAGGAAGAGTGGAAGACAGAATTGGAATGTCAACTTCAGCCACATGGCCTATTACAGAAACAAGGACTGTAGCAGTTGTGTACCTTTCTTTCTTCGTTTGCTGTGTTTGTGTGTGTGTATGTGTTTGTATATGTTAACCACTTTTTTTCCTTCTTTCTCTCCCTTCCTATTATTTATTTTTTGATAAGTTTTCTTGGAAGTTAACTTTCCAATTCAGTATTTAGATAACGGAATATTCAGCCGGCACTGTGACTGGATTTGAGGGGTTATTAACATTGTCCGGAGATGGATACAATGCTGTTGGAATCTTTGCATCTCCCCATTTTGGGGAAAGACTGAGAATGTCTTCATTTGCATGAAGGATAGTTGCAACCTGTTAAGTGTAAACATAGAGTTGTCTTTTTTTTTTCTGGAGACGGAGTCTCTGTCTGTTGCCCAGGCTAAAGTGCAGTGGCACAATCTCGGCTCACTGCAACCTCTGCCTCCTGGGTTCAAGCGATTCTCCTGACTCAGCCACCCCAGTAGCTAGGATTACAGGTGTGTGCCATCATGCCCAGATAATTTTTGTATTTTGGTAGAGACAGGGTTTTGCCATGTTGGTCAGGCTGGTCTCAGACTCCTGGCCTCAAGTGATCTGCCCGTGTCAACTTCCTAAAGTGCTGGGATTACAGGCGTTAGCCACCGCGCCCAGCCTATCCTCTTATTTGAAAGTCAGATTTGTGTATACAAATGCTGAGAAGCCAGAAAGGTGGATTATGCCACTTACTAAGCTATTGTCTCTCTCTCTCTCTTTTTTTTTTTTTTTTTTTTTTTTGAGACCGGATCTCACTCTGTCACCTAGGCTATAGTGCAGCAGTGCGTTCATGGCTCACTGTAGCCTCGACCTCCCGTGCTTGAGCACTCCTCCCACCTCAGCCTCCTGAGTAGCTGGGACTACAGGCACATGCCACCACACCCAACTAATTTTTGTGTTTTTAGTAGAGATGGTATTTTGCCATGTTGACCAGGCTGGTCTCCAACTCCTGAGCTCAAGCGATCCACCCACCTCGGCCTCTCAAAGTGCTGGGATTGCAGGTGTGAGCCACTACACCTGGCCTACCCTTTATTATTTCTGTCTTAGTCTGTTCAGGTTGTTATAATAAAATACCATAGACTGGATAGCTTATAAACACAGAAATTTATTTCTCACTGTTCCAGAGGCTGGGAGGTCCAAGATAAAGACTCTAACAGATTCAGTGTCTGATGAGGGCTCACTTTCAGGTTCATAGAGGGTGCCTCCTGGCTATGCCCTCTCATGGCAGACACAGATAATCTCTTTTGTGCCTCTTGTTATAAGAGGCACTAATCCCATTCATGAGGGCCCCACCCTCACGACCTACTCACCTCCAAGTGCCCCATCTCCTGATACCAACTCACCGGGGGTTAGGATTTCAACATGTGGTTCTGGGGGGAGATGCAAACATTCAGACAATAGTAATTAGCTTCCTTCTCTTTCTTTGAGTTTGTTCTGCTGCAGTTTTATCCCTAACTTCTTCAGATAGATGGTTCGCTCATTAATTTTTAGTCTCCCTTGTTTTCCAGTGTATGAAATTAAGGCTATCAATTTTTCTCTAAGTACTATTTTAATTGCATGTGAGAAGTTTTAATATGTGATATTGTCATCATCTTTCAGTTTAACATTTTTCTAATTTCCATTAGAATTTTGTCTTTGACTAATGGACTGTATAAAAAGTGAACATTTTCATTTCCAAATGTATTAATAATTTATTTTTTGTTGTTGATTTATAATTTATGCAATATAATCACAGAAGGTGATCTGTATAATTTCAATCTTTGGTCTTTATTGAGACTTGATTATGGCATAATACATGGTCATTTTTCACAAATGTTCCACAAGAGTTTGAAATGAATGTGTATTATCTAATTCTTATGCAAAACATTCTATAAATGAGCATTCAATCAAGCTGGTTAGCAGTACTGTTCAAATCTTTTACACTCTTACAGGTTCTTTTTTCTGCATGATCTACCAATGATAGAAATATGTTAGAATCTTCCATAATGGTGGTGGATTTGTCAAGTTCTTCTTGGGTTTCTTTTCTTTTTTCTGTTGATTCTTGCTTTATTCATTTTAAGGCTATAAGATATGTACAAGTTTTAAATTAGTTTATCATCTTGGTGAATTAAAATACTTTATCTTTATGTACATACCCTCTCTATCCTTAGTAATGACTTTTCTTTAAAGAATATTTTTATCTGGGCCGGGTGCAGTGGCTCACACCTGTAATCCCAGCACTTTGGGAGGCAGAGGCGGGCGGATCATGAGGTCAGGAGATCGAGACCATCCTGGCTAACACGGTGAAACCCCGTCTCTACTAAAAATACAAAAAATTAGCTGGGTGTGGTGGCGGGTGCCTGTAGTCCCAGCTACTCGGGAAGCTGAGGCAGGAGAATGGCGTGAACCTGGGAGGCGGAGCTTGCGGTAAACCGAGATTGTGCCACTGCACTCCAGCCTGGGCGACAGAGCGAGACTCTGTCTCAAAAAAAAAAAAAAAAAGAATATTTTTATCTGATGTTGATATCATAAACTTGCTTTCTTGGCACTTAAAAAATCTTTTTATTTTCAAGCTTTCTGTGTTCTTTGACTTTTTTTTTTTTTTTTTTTTTTTTTTGTTGAGACGGAGTCTCGCTATCTCCCCGGCTGGAGTGCAGTCCCGCGATCTCGGCTCACTGCAAGCTCCGCCTCCCGGGTTCACGCCATTCTCCTGCCTCAGCCTCCCGAGTAGCTGGGACTACAGGCACCCGCCACCTCGCCAGGCTAATTTTTTGTATTTTTAGTAGAGACGGGGTTTCACCATGTTAGCCAAGATAGTCTCGATCTCCTGACCTCGTGATCTGCCCGCCTCGGCCTCCCAAAGTGCTGGGATTACAGGCGTGAGCCACCGCTCCCGGCCGTTCTTTGACTTTTAATACATCTCTTAGAAAGTTGGATGGGGGAGAGGTAATCCATTTTGAAAATCTCTGTCCTCTAACTGGTGGGTTTAGTCCATACACCTCTGTGATTATTGTTATTTTTTAACGCACCTCTATCATCTTATTCTTTTTTGCATTTTTTTCATGCTTCTTTGTTTTTCTTTCTTGGTTTTTTGTTTTTTGTTTTACTAATTGGGCTTCTTTTATTTGTTTTCCCTATTCCTATTTGTATTTCCTATTTCCTATACTGTTTTGAATTTACATGCTCCATTTCTTTTCTTTTTAGGGATAATCTTTGAGGCTCTGCATGTATATATAACAAATTTTAAAATTAATATATTATTCTACCCCCTTCTGAAAATTTCAAGACCTTAGAATACTTTACCACTGATTTACTCCTTCTTGAATTACATGTCATTGTTTTTCAATATTATATTTTGAGCCAGAAGTTTTATTACTCACTTTAAAGAAGCAATTTTTGGCTTTGTAGGTCTTTCTCTATTGCCTATCTGCTTTCTTTTTTTTGAGACGGAGTCTCGCTCCGTCACCCAGGCTGGAGTGCAGTGGCGTGATCTCGGCTCACTGCAAGCTCCGCCTCCCGGGTTCAAGTCATTCTCCTGCCTCAGCCTCCCGAGTAGCTGGGACTACAGGCACCCGCCACTACGCCCGGCTAATTTTTTTTTGTATTTTTAGTAGAGACGGGGTTTCACCATGCTAGCCAGGATGGTCTGGATCTCCTGACCTCGTGATCCACCCGCCTCGGCCTCCCAAAGTGCTGGGATTACAGGCGTGAGCCACCGGCCCGGCCTGTTGCCTATCTGCTTTCTATTTATTTCATTTCCACTCTTATCTTTATTATTTCCTTCCTCCTGCATATTTTAGGTTTAATTTGCTCTTCTTTTTCTATATAATCAAAATGAAACCACAGATGGCTGATTTCAAACCTCTTTCCTTTTCTAATAACAGCATTTAAAGCTATAAATTTTTCTCTAAGAATTGCTTTATCTGCATTCCACAAATGCTGATAAAGCTAAAAGGAAAACAGAAAAAACACAATTAGAGTTGGAGATTTTAATACTCCATTTTCAGTAATTGATAGAACAAATGGATAAAAAAAATCAATAAAGATGTGGTAGATTTAAACAACACTATCAACCAGCTTAATCTAAATGACGTTTGTAGGACACTACATCAAAAAACTGTAAAATATACCTTTTTTTAAATGTACATGGAACATTACCAAGTTTAGACATACACTGGGGCATAAGATGTCTCAATAAATGTAAAAGGATTGAAATCATACAGAGTATATACTCTTATTAAAATGTAATTAAACTAGAACTCAGTAACTAAAAAATCCCTTAAAATATCCAAATTTGGAAATTAATATCTTTAATTTAACCATTAGAGCTTTTCGTTAAGAGTCATCATACTAATTAACAAGTTGTTAATTTCATCAGTGAAAACTCATTTCTGACATTAAATTTACTTCTTAGCAAGCCTGAGGTATTGTTCTAGATATGATAGCAAAAGTGGTCCCTTCCTCTGAAATCCACCTCTAATATGATGCCAGCCGACCACTGGGACACACTATCTATGATGAAGTGTTTCAAAGTGATCGCAGTCACTGTGATAAGCATGTTTTAGTTCTAAAACGAGAGTCTTTTGGTGTTAAACTCAGTTTTTGTCTGAGAGTGTCCTGAGGTGGAAAAGGAGGTGCTACTTGCTTCCCCCACTCCAGATTCTGCTACATACATAGACACACCTCCTTATCGACCTCAAACTTTTAACAGTTAAACAACATCTACCAAAACAAAGCTAGGAGTTGGCTTGGCCAAATTGGCCTAGGTTGGTTCACATCATCGGACACAGCAAGTGACCATAAAGATCATTTTTGCAGGAGCCCAGTGTGGATGCTGGCAAGGCAGTGTGAGCTTGTCACTGTGTCATTGCGCTTACATGAACTGAAAATAAGGAACAAGGATATGGGGTGTGGGGAGAAGACTACTTGGAAACAAACCCATGGTGTTGGAATCAAGCTACTGTGAAAAGCTGGGAAGCAGCAAGCAAGTTTCTGGAAGTTTTGATTTGAGATGATGTGAAGGAAAGTAAAGATAAGTTGATTTAATAAAAAAGATGATAAAGAAACAATGGGAGAAGAATGGTAAAGAGATAGGATTGGATAAGAGCTAAAGGTGTAAAACCTTCTCAGAAGAAAACATAGGTGTATACGTTCATGACCTAGGATTCGGCAATCATTTCTTTTTGTTTGTTTGTTTGTTTGTTTGTTTGAGGCGGAGTCTCACTCTGTCGCCCAGGCTGAGTGCAGTGGCGCAATCTCGGCTCACTGCAACCTCTACCTCCCTGGTTCAAGTGATTCTCCCGCCTCAGCCTCCCAAGTACCTGGAATTACAGGCACCTGCCACCACGCCCGGCTAATTTTTGTATTTTTAGTAGAGAAGGGGTTTCGCCATGTTGGCCAGGCTGGTCTCGACCTCCTGGCCTCAAGTGATCCACCTGCCTTGGCCTCCCAAAGTGCTGGGATTACAGGCGTGAACCACCATGCATGGCCTTGACAATCGTTTCTTAACTATGACACCAAAAGCATGCACGATCAAAGAAAAATAGATTAAAGGGGCTTCATCAAAATTCAAAAATTTTGTGTGTCAAAGGACACTGTTAAGAAAGTGAAAAGACAGCCCAGAGAATGAGAGAAAATATTTGCAAATCATGTACCTGAGAAGGGTCTAGTATCCAGAATATGTAAAGAACTCTTACAACTCAACAACAAAAAGACAACCTAATTTAAAAATGGGCAAAGGACACAATAAGACATTTCTCCAAATAAGATATACAGATGGTCAATAAGCACATGAAAGGATGCTCAGCATTAGTCATTAGGGAAATGCAAATCAATATCATAATAAGATACCACTTACACCCATGGGAATGGCCAAAATGATCAAAGACAGATGATAAAAAGTATTAATGAGGATGTGGAGACACTGGAACCCTCATACATTGCTAGTGGGAATGTAAAATTGTGCAGCCTCTTGGAAAATATTTTGGCAGTTCCTCAAGAAGTAGAATTACCATATGACCCAGCAACTCCACTCCTAGGTATATACCCAAGAGAAAGCAAAACATGTCCATACAAAAATCTGTGCATGAATGTTCATAGCAGCATTATTCACAATAGCCAAAAAGTAGAAAAAATAAATCCATCAACTGAGGAACGGATAAACTAAATGTCATACATTCATACAAGAGAATATTATTCAGCCATAAAAAGGAATGGAGGCCGGGCATGGTGGCTCACACCTGTAATTCCAACACTTTGGGAGGCTGAGGTAGGAGGATTGTTTGAGCCCAGGAGTTCAAGACCAGCCTCAGCAATATAGTAAGATCTTGTTTCTACAAAAATAAATAAATAAATAAATAAATAATAAGTACTGATACAAGGTGATGATCCTGGAAAACATTATGATCAGTAAAAGAAGCCAGACATAAAAAGCCACATATTAGGCTGGGCGCCATGGCTCACACCTGTAATCCCAGCACTTTGGGAGGCCAAGGCAGGTGGATCACCTGAGGTCAGGAGTTCGAGACCAGCCTGGCCAACATGGTGAAACCCCATCTCTGCTAAAAATACAAAATATTAGCTGGGTGTAGTGATGGGCACCTGTAATCCCACCTACTTGGGAGGCTGAGGCAGGAGAATCACTTGAACCTGGAGGAAGAGGTTGCAGTGAGCCAGCATTGCGCTGCTGCACTCTAGGCAACAGAGTAAGACTTCGTCTCAAGAAAAAAAAAAAGCCACATATTAAATGATTCCATTTAATAAATGTCCAGAGTAGGCAAATCCATAGAGACATAAAGTAGATTAGTAGTTACTGAGGGCTGGGGGGACTAGGGAAAATGGGGAATGACTGCTCATGGGTACAGAGTTGGGTTTTTTTGTTTTGTTTTATATGTGTGTGTGTGTGTGTGTGTGTGTGTGTGTGTGTGTGTGTGTGTGTGTGTTAAAAATGTTCTAAAGGGGCTGAGCATGGTGGCTCACACCTGTAATCTTAGCACTTTGGGAGGCCAAGGCAGGCAGATCACTTGAGGTCAGGAGTTCGAGACCAGCCCGGGCAACATGGTGAAACCCCATCTCTACAAAAAATACAAAAATTAGCCAGGCATGGGGGCACACACCGTCTCAGCTACTTGGGAGGCTGAGGTAGGAGGATTGCTTGAGCCTGGGAGGCAGAGGTTGCAGTGAGTTGAGATCACGTCACTGCACTCCAACCTGGGCAACAGAGGGAGACTCTATCTCAAAACAAAAAATGTCCTAAAGTTATTTATGATGATGGTTGCACCCTGTGAATATACTTAAAATCATTTAATTTTACCATTTAAAAGAGTGAGTTTTATGGTATGTGAATTCTACCTTGTATCCCAATTTCTTAAGTAGGAAAAAGTATCATCAACAGAAGACCCCCCCAACTCACAGTCAGACCATGATGGAAGGTGGTGGGGAGGGAGAGAGGGAAGGAGAGAGTGAGGGAGGGAGGACAGAATGGGGTGAAGGATGCTAAGCAGAGAATAGTGCCATGATTGAGGTTAGGATGCTTAGCATTATGGGAAGAGTTAGAAAAGGGGAAGAAGTTAGCCTAGCCCTGGTGATCAGCAACTAGAAGGAAGGTAATTTCTTTTTTTTGTTTTTCAGTCTACCAGCTGATCCATTACATGGGGCTATGACAAGGTCTGTTGAGGGAGACACCCACTGAGATTACAGAAACTAGTAAGGAGCAAAAATGGTTTACTTGAAATGTTCTGCTGAGGAACAGGTTAGAGAAGGCACTACTGTAACTGGCTCAAGTCCGGCTACTCGCTGCTCACAAGTCAAAGCATAAGAAGCAAGGTGTGGCAAGAGGAAAGCAGCTTCTAGTGGTGAAATGCCAGCAGATGGGAGAATGGCCAGGCTAAAGCCTCAAAGAGACCATCTTTGCCTTCTGGGCTGAGTGAAGGGGTTTAAGAAGGAAAAAGGTGTGGGGAATATGCGGGACTCATGAAAAGGGGGGTGTAGGTGTGCGTGTCTGGTTCTGATGGTTATCTTGAGTAATCGCTCTACAGAGGTCCACTTGGCATCATCCTGACTTCGACCCAGTGGTGGTGGGCTAACTGTTCCTAACACCCCCTGAGCAGGAGGATTCTGCAGCTGGGTCTCTCTGCCTGGCTTGTTTAAAAACTAGCCCCTGGAATTTCTAAGCAAGCACATAATTAGATAAGCAAGCGCTGTGCATGGGAGCGCCTGATGGGGAAATGGAGGGAAACAAAGAATTTCAAAGTTCTGTCAGTTTTATGATCTCTATTTTAATGGTAATGATGGTCAGTTGTGCCTGAATTCCAAAGGAGGGGGAAGGTGTAGCAAGGTGTGTCTAACCCCCTGCTTTCTGTCATGGACTGAACAGTTTTTCAGGTTCCTTTCGGATCCCTCTTGGCCAAGATGGGGGAAGGTGGGGGAGGGAAAACGGGTCCATTCTGTCTCTTGGGAGGCTTAGGATTTTTTTTCTGTTTATATTCCGCCTCTTTTGTCAAGGTATGCTAGATGTAGCATCAATGGCCAAGCTTTTATTTTGTCCAATATTGATGCTATCTGCCCCAAGTTCATCATGTCCCTCAGTGGAACCCCTTTGGCAAAGGGACTTAAAATCAAAAGACTTATAGCTAATTAAACAGTCTAGGCCAGAGGGGAAACCCCCTTTAAGCAATGTAAGAGCCAAAAACCAAAAGCCAAAAGGCAAGGTTCTAAAATTGACTTCTCTATAAATTCAATGCATTGAACTACTGTATTTTTGACTTGTAGAAATTGGCTATACAAAACACAAGCATTTTGTTCAGCCGTTTAGGCATCTGTGTGCTAGTTCTCGATTTGGAGAGTCTGAAATAATTTTCTCTCTCAAAATCAGCCCTTAAAATCTCATGCAATAGTCCCTGGGCCTGCAGGGATTGAATAGTTTCAAATTTTGAAGGCAAAACAAAACATAAAGAATTAGCAATGTTTTACACAAAAAGATCATAAGCCCTGCCTAGTTCTGAGGAGAACAGGAAAGGAAGTTCATAGGTCATTAAACATTTAAATTATTTAGTATCAAGGCATAGAACAAATTATATTATTTCAGATAGAGGCAAAATTATTAAATGAATCTTAATGTTTTTCAATACAAACCTATCCCGATGTCTCATGAAAGCAGTTTGCTTTGATTGTCTCCTTTGCCCAGGTCTAAAGACGAGGCTTTGGCTAACTCGAGTTTGGTGTCAGAGACTGGCAGGAGCCAATGCCTTCTTTAGATGAGATATGTGTACCCAGGAGTCAAAGCCCCATAACTTAACAGCACAAAGATTAGTTAATAGCACCTTTTAGGGCTTTTTTGAGGCTGAAGGTGGTGATACTTGAGTTCATGACCTGACTGGAAGCTGTAAAAAGATTTTACAGACTTCCAGTGATTAACTTTTATAGCTTTGATAAACCTCAGCAGTAAGTCAGGCTCTTAATTTAGGATTTGATTTGAGGATGTTTGTCAAATATGTTAAAAAGCTCAAAACATTTTATCAAAACAGAATAATGGTCATTGTAAAATAGTAGTTACTCATTGAAACAAGGAGATAACTAAAAGACTTTAAAGGCAATACAGAAGGATAAATGGGCGTAAAAGCCTTAACCCTTTTAAATCTCAGTTTTTTTAAGCAATCAAAAACCTATAGCTAGCTGTGATGGCTCATGCCTGTAATCCCAGGATTTTTGGAGGCCGAGGCAGGCGGATCAGCTGAGGTCAGGAGTTTGAGACCAGCCTGGCCAACATGGTGAAACCCCATCTCTACTAAAAATACAAAATTAGCTGGGTGTGGTGGTGCACGCCTGTAATCTCAGCTACTCAGGAGGCTGAGGCAGAATTGCTTGAATCTGGGAGGTGGAAGTTTCAGTGAGCCCAGATCGTGCCATTGCACTCCAGCCTGGATGGCAAGAGCAAAACTCTGTCTCAAAGACAAACAAACAAACAAAACCTAATAAAGACAGCATAGGGGCAGGGCATGGTGGCTCACGCCTGTAATCCCAGCACTTTGGGAGGCCAAGGCAGGCGGATCACGAGGTCAGGAGATCAAGACCATCCTGGCTAACACAGTGAAACCCGTCTCTACTAAAAATACAAAAAATTAGCCGGGTATGATGGCGGACACCTGTAGTCCCAGCTACTTGAGAGGCTGAGGTAGGAGAATGGCATGAACCCGGGAGGCGGAACTTGCAGTGAGCTGAGATCGTGCCACTGCACTCCAGCCTGGGTGACAGAGCGAGACTCCATCTCAAAAAAAAAAAAAAAAAAAAAAAAAAGACAGCATAGGAATTACCTCCATAAAATGTAGAATCTTGTTTCTTGAGCCAGTTGCCAAAAAGGCAAAGAAAAACTTTCTGCGGTGTGACTGCTTCTCCTTATGGGAAGCCCACTTAGATAACCTGGAAGTCAAACTTGATGAAAAAAAGTGCTTTAATTTAATTAGACACAGAAAGAGTATGTTCAAGATCATGAGTATAACAGGGGAATACATGACTCTTAGTAACTGCATGAGAAGTTTCCTGATTAACTGAAAATTTAGACATATCAAGAAAAGCCAAGACAACAGAATCAAGTTATACTGGAGGAAACCACTGCTTTTACAGACTTCTAAGATAAAACATTTCAGCATCTGGCCACAACAGTTAGATCCAGAGGGGAAAAAATTATAGAAGTTGATGGACAAAGTTGAAGGAGAGTTATCATCTCAGGCCTTTTCAAAGGGAGAAAAAGCTGAATGCAGTGAGATACAACAAAAGCTGAACTTTTAAGATATTAATCTAAGAAGTTTTCAAAAGAAACAGTTTATAGAATTAAAAAGCAAATCTTCTTGTAATTTTAATAAGAGCAAATCAATAGCTTAAGAAAGCCCCATTTTAACATAGGGGACTGTTCTTTAGAAATACTATCATAAATAATTCCCTTTTAATCATAGCTAACTTAACCACAAGACAAAATTCCTTTTATAGGCCTGGCGTGGTGGCTCATGCCTGTAATCCCAGCACTTTGAGAGGTCGAGGCAGGCAGATCACCTGAGGTCAACAGTTTGAGACCAGCCTGGCCAACATGGCGAAACCCCGACTCTACTGAAAATACAAAAATTAGCTGGGTGTGGTGGTGCACACCCTTAATCCCAACTACTTAGGAGGCTAAGGCAGGAGAATCATTTGAACCTGGAAGGCAGAGGTTGCAGTGAGCCAAGATCACTCCACTGCACACTAGCCTGGGAGACAGAGCAGACTCCATCTCAAAAAAAAAAACAACCCACAAAATTCCTTTTATAAATTCCCCTTCATGAACATTTTGCAACTTATACAGACCGTCTATGACATGCTTGGAATTTCTGACTTGTCCTATACTTCTCTCTTTCCTAAATAATCATTTTTCTTTAGGACAAAAATTTACCATATGAGGCTATATTTTTATACAAAATCATTTTCTTTTCTTTATAACCTTTCTTACCAAAAACACATCTTCATAACCACAACTTTCTTAACATCTCTCTCCTACTTACTGGTCCTTTCTACCTTCTTTTAGAAGTTACTTTTAAATAACCCCCAAATTACATAAAAGTATTGTGTTAGTTTTCAATAACACAACTTACACGATTATATATTAATTAGAATTTTTATTCTTGGTAACCTTAAATTTTAGTAAAAACCTATGAAGCAAGAAATCCTGAACTGTTTGTTAGATATTAGCATTTTGTAGATGAAACAACTACTCCATAATATTATAAACCATTCCATAATATTACGTTTTCCCATATTATAACATTATAACATGTTTTCACACATTATTTTTTTCTTAATTGGAAATGACCCAGACATCCAAAAAAGCATCTATTATTTAATTCAAAATAATGTCAAGATTTTAAATTATACAAGAAGTCCACTTACAAGCATTTATCTCATTTACATGTACTCAATTTTTTCCATTTTTAACAGTTTATCTAGATTACTTCTGAAAACTGAGATGTTACACAAATCTAGTCATTATTTAAATTTATTTCAGCCTCAGCAACATGGAGAAACTTCATCTCTACAAAAAAATACAAAAATTAGCTGGTACCACGTGGTGGTACACAGCCATAGTTCAGCTTCTTGGGAGACTGAGGTGGGAGGATCACTTAAGCCTGGGAAGAGGAGGTTGCAGTGAGGCAAGTTTGCACCATTGTACTCCAGCCTGGACAACACAGCAAGACCCTGTCTCAAAAAATAAATAAATAAATAAATAAATAAATAAATAAGTTATTTATTTATTAACCATTTTAAAAGTCTGAATAGCAGGTGAACACCCAAGAACCTTAAACGTAAACACATTTTGCCAATAACTCAGAAGATTCAGCTGTTTTAATTAAACCAACAATCTAGTCTTTTTGTCAAAAAAAAATTACACAAAGATAATTTTGGTTTTGTTTGGGTTTATAGTCCTATAACCTTTATGTGAAACTCTGACACCTTAACATGTAGACAGAGACAAATATAAAACCATTTGGTTAAAAAACTCAGACAAAAATGTATTCTGACAATTTTGAAGACATTTCTATCAATAATTTTAGTTTTATTTACCAAAGATTCATGTGAATTTGAAAAGCATCTGGACTTATTTAATTTATGAGTACTCATTTACTTATAATCCAATTTGGTAGCATGCTAGACACAATATACAACATAATACATGTATGTACACACAAGCATATCTAAACATGTATACCTACATGCACAAAGATCCAATAGCTTTTACTTTGGAACTCCAGCCATAAGATAGCAGTACAGACTCACCACTTTATAAAAGATAGCTGGATCCAAATTATTTTTCTGATGAAATTGGAACCTGTTCACATGGCTAAGGAAAGCTGTTTGCCCCAATTTAAGGAAATCTGTGAACCAAAATTTGGGTAAAGTAGTTTCTATGGCAGTTTGGTTTTGAAAACCTTTTTACTCTTCTTTTTTCTGCAGTTTCAAGTGAGTTTCTAGTGTTTCCATTTTAGCTAGAACTGGCTGAAATGTATAAGAAAAACAAAATCTCCAAGTAATGTGGAAACAGTAAGTTTTATCTCAACACCAGTAGCTGAATAACAGCAGATTCAAAGAAGGCAGAAAAGAAAAGAGAGGTAGAGAGCCTTAGAAGACTCTGCTTAACTGTAGAGTTGCAGGTTAACCATTTGACCTCTGAATTTCCCTTACTGTAATTTGCCCATCAGCTTAAAATGTGCACAAAAGTTGGCCATAATATGTAACCAGGTGGAGTCTCAGATTGTCTAGAAAAGAGAGTTGACTTGCTTTCTCCCCCCACAAACCTTGACATGGATTCAGGAAATACTCTGGAGGTCTCAGAGAGGATGACAAAATTAGAGGCTAGGATATTGGAAACTTTCTCCCCTGCAGAGGAGAGAAGCAGCCTATCTTGATGCTTTCTGACCTAGTCTTGGCGGGTGGGATGGAGACTAGTCCAAAGCACCCTTGGAGAAAGGGGTAACACTAAACAGAGACACAAACACAGACAGATCCCATGCAGACAGAGCACTCCATACCAATCCCCAAAGAGGAGAGACTGGAGAAAAGTCCTGAGATCTTGTGTCAAACCCAGAGGGCACCACAGAGTGACCTGTGTTAGGTGCAGATAGCATGGAGGCTCAGATGGCACCAAGATGACCTATGCTAGGTCCAGGTGGCTGGACAGCCCAGATGGCAGAGACAGACAACTCCAGGTGCACTCTGGTTGACTTACCCAGTCCTGAAGGCCATCAACTTACTGAATGCTGCTTTCCTTACACCATCAGAGCATGATAGCACCTGATGCCATGAAAAGGAGGCAAAGGAAAATACCCCAAACAAAGGCAGTCTCTGCATCTGTTGGGAATTCCCAAGGCCCCAGTCGCAGGGTCCACTGGCCACAAGTAGCTAGCATAGCTAGCATTTGCAAATGGCCCTGCCCTGCCTGGTACCATCAGTGGGTAAGCCTTGGTCCACTGCCTGGCCAACTGCTCCACTCGCTGGAAACCAGGCCTACAGGCTGAGCTGCTCAGAACACACACCTCCTCACTCAGGCACCAAGTCTGTAACCAGCTCAAGTTCAGCTGCTCACCGCTCAGCAGTCAAAGCATGAGAAGCTTGGTATGTGGTGAAAGGAAAGCAGCTTCTATTGGTCAAATGCTAGCAGATGGGACCATGGCTGGGCTCAAGCTTCAAAGGGAAACGTCTCTGCCTTCTGGGCTGAGTGAAGGGATTTAAGAAGGAAAAAGGTGTAGAAAATATGCGGGCATGGTGCAGGAGAATGCAGGTCTGCATGTCTTGTTCTATAGCTATCTCAAGTAATCACCCATCTGGAGGTCTGGTTTGTGTCATCCTGTCTTCAGCCCAGTGGTGGTGGACTAACTTCCTAACTTCCCTTGAGCGGGAGGATTCAACAGCTGGGTCTCTCTGCCTGGCTTGTTGCAAAACTGCCCCCTGAAATTTCTAAGCAAGCACATAATCGGATAAGTCAGCACTGTGCACGGGAGCACCTGGTGGGAAAAAGAGAAAGAATTTCAAAGTATGTTTCAAGGCTGAAAGCAAGAAAGGAAAAAAAAGTTTTAAAATGCATTTCGAGGCTGGGATACTCGGTTACACTACTCCTTGGCTGATACTGCAGCTGGGATGATCGGTTTACCTCAGAGATACAGGAAAGGAAGAGAGAAGTTTGTGGTCTCAGGTCACATGCCACTATTGTGGTCAGGCCATTAAAATAGTAGTGAAGGAAATTAAAGATGCTAAATTTATAAATGCAACTTAAAGATTAAAGTGGTTGTAAATGGAACCAAGCATGTGCTCTTCTTAGAATAATACAAAGTGTAAAATGAACTTGAAATCTCAAAAATAACTAGGATTTTGAGTTTATACATTTAATAAAGAGAATATCACATTTAAAAAATAAAAGGTCTGAAACGACAGCATTTCACTTGTCTACTAAAAGTGGAATATCTGAAAAATCAAAAATTAATCAAAATGAACATTTTTTTTCCTCGGGTTAAACTCAGAATATTGCAGCCAAAAATAGAGGTAAATTGTTCATATTTCCAATAAAGAATCCTACTCTACTAGATGACACTAAATAGATAGCTGAAATTTAAGTGTGTTTGCTTAGAAGCAACTCTGATTTCAGATTATTTTATGGATAGAAAACTTTTCCTCAAGGAAAGAGCTTGGTGTATTAAATTTAAAAGATAATCTCAAGATCTCAGGTATGACTCTGTAAAGCATGTATAAATTTTGTTGTTTTTCTAAATTTTTTTCAAATTTGAGAGATGGTATGTGTTCTAAATTACAGTTATAGGGAATGTATAATGAAAGCCAACATTTTAAATTTAATCTGAATTTTAAAGCTTAGTAATTTTGTTAGTTTCCGTAAGGTTAAGTGCAATTACTACAAAATACAAAATTGGGAATTGGAGGTATAGCACAGCCTGCTTCCATGCAAAAACCTGAATTTTTGCACTAAAACTAAATAGGCAAAACCTTCTGCAAATATATGATCATAGAACCACAATTGAAGTATACTACAATGGAAATGTGATACAATTATAAAGCCTACTGTCTTTTAGAAATCGGTTGTAGCGGAAATTATGTAAATCTAGGCCAGGTACAGTGGCTCACACCTGTAATTCTAGCACTTTGGGAGGCTGAGGCAAGACTCCTGCTTGACTCCGGTAGTTCAAGACCAGCCTAGACAACATGGCAAAACTCCGTCTCCACAAAAAATAAAAATAAAAAAAAATTAGTCATGTGTGGTGGTGCACACATCTGTAGTCCTAGCTACTCGGGAGTCTGAGCTGGGAGGATGCTTAAACCTGGGACGCAGAGATTGCAGTGAGCCAAGGTCAAGCCACTGCACTCCAGCCTGGGCAACAGAGCGAGACTCTATCTCAAAAAAATAAATAAATAAATAAATAAATAAATAAATAAATAAAAGAAAAGAAAATTATGTAAATCTATAAAAAAAATTCCACTTGAACTTTTGGGGTAAAGAACCAAAGGTACAATAGCTTCTTTCAATAATTATTTATTATTTTTAGTTTTTTAAATAAGTATAATATGGGCATATTTCATAATTGCTTTGAGAAATTTGAATTTTAAACATGAATCAGTAGGCATTTGGTTTTATCAAAAGCTCCTTAATAAATTAGAAGTTTTACATTAGGATTACCTGCAATTAAAATATAAACACAAACACATATGGAGTGAAGCATGCATTTTCACCCATAAATTAGAAGATTTTAGGGCAAACCTAAATATTTTCACATATTAACCATATGGCACTCCAAAATTTTAAGCAGTCTTTTTAAAATTCCTCTAAGTGGGCCCGATGGGGTGGTTCATGCCTGTAATCCCAGCACTTTAGGAGGCTGAGGTGGGAGAATCACTTGAGGTCAGGAGTTCGAGACCAACCTAGCCAACATGGTGAAACATCATCTCTACTAAAAATACAAAAAATAGCCGGGCTTGGTGGTGGGCACCTGTAATCCCAGCTACTTGAGAAGCTGAGGCAAGAGAATCGCTTGAACCTGGAAGGCAGAGGTTGCAGTGAGCTGAGATCACACCACCGCACTCCAGCCTGGGCGACAGAGTGAGACTCCATCTCAAAAAAGAAAATAATAATAATAATAATAACCTCTCCCTAAAACCTAGCCTGCAACATGATGAAACCCTATCTCTACTAAAATACAAAAATTATCTGGGCATGGTGGCGCATGCCTGTAATCCCAGCTACTTGGGAGGCTGAGGCAGAAGAATTGCTTGAACCCTGGAGGCGGAGGTTGCGGTGAGCAGAGATCGCGCCATTGCACTCCAGCCTGGGCAACAAGAGTGAAACTACATCTCAAAAAACAAATAAATAATTTTAAAATAAAATTCCTCTAAGTGGGCCAGGAGTTCGAGACTAATCTGGCCAACGTGGTGAAACCCCATCTCTACTAAAAATACAAAAAAAATTAGCCAGGTGTGGTGGTGCACACTTGTAATCCCAGCTACTCAGGAGCCTGAGGCACGAGAGTCACTTGAACCTGGGAAGTGGAGGTTGCAGTGAGCCAAGATGGTGCCACTGTGCTCCAGCCTGGGCAAGAGAGGGAAATTCTGTCTCAAAACAAAAAAACAAAAAAACAAAAAAAAAAAACTTCTAAGTGTATGTGGAGGGGGTTAGGTAAAGATTCAAGATGGTTTTGGATTTAATAATACTACTTGGGAGAATAATTTGGATTTATAGCCTAAAACCCTGATGTTATCATACAAAATCTGATATATCAAGTTGATAAAGAAGTGTTATATGTGATTAAAAAGAAAAATATGTGTCTCCAGAAAGGGAGCAATGCAAGGTGAGGACAAACCAAACCAAAAATCTATACAATGTGAAGAGGAAGGCAGTAAACAGGGTAAAGTAGGATGGAAAGGAGACTTCTGTGAAGACACCTTGTTTTACAGTTTTCACTTTAAAATAAAACAAATTTTACATAAATACAAAATAAAATGAAATCAAAATAGAAAAAAATCCCTAAAAATTGAAAACAAATTTAAACAAGCTAAACTAAAATACATCAAGTTAGTAGCATAGACACATTAAAAAATTATTTCATGTTACTTTAAAACACAGTATTTTAAGTGTACATTCCTAGTGGAAAATATTCTAAAGACAATAAGAACTACATAGAAATGTTGAACTATATTCAGGGTCTTATTGTTAGTAGCAATTTTGAAATTTTTAATTTTGGAATACCTATAGGTATATTATAGGATAAGCCAAATAATACATACGTTTGCTCATTAAAAAAACAAAAGTTTCAGTTGAGTGCATTGGTGCACACCTATAGACTGGGAGGCTGAGGCAGGAGGATCGCTTGAGCCCAGGAGTTTGAGGCTGTAGTGTGCTACAATTGTGCCTGTAAACAGCCATTGCACCCTAGCCTGGGCAACATAGACCCCATCTCTAAAAACAAAACAAAACAAAAACCAAGATTTTCAGTGAAAGAAAAAAATATACAAGTATTAAACCAAATATTTTGAGTTAAACTCTTGTAATCATAAATTTGAATTGGAAATATCAGTATGAACTCATAACTCTTTTCTTTTAGAATGCACTCATTTCCTAATATGTGCACTGAAAATCCTGGAAGGCATGAAAACACACTAGTAATGATCACTCCTCAGTCCCCAGATTGTGGTCTCTAAGTATCATTTTCCCCTAAAGGAACTAGCGTTTCTTAACATAACAGCTGGTTCCAGGTCTGGGGCAGGAATTGTAAAAATTGCCTAGAATACGTTGTGTTAGACAAAAAGGAAGCTATCACAGACTGCTGGGATCACGTCAAAGGACACAGAAGCCAACTTGAAGGGTTCTTTGTTGTTTGGGTTTTTTCTTTTTACTAAGATGGGTCGATTTAACAGTAACCAAATAGTGCATGAGGGAAATTTCTTTATAGAAGAATTTCAGCTACTAAATGCAGAAAAATGTTAGGAAATCACTATTTTACAATCCCTAATGAAACCATGGATGTAGCCAATGATCACCAATGAACAACCAATCCGTTAAGTGAAAGATGAATAGGGAACTTCATAAGGAAGAGATTAGGCTGATAGCACCTGAAACCATTTATGAAAATTATCATTTAAAAAATGGAGACAACCAGACCTTACATGCTTTATGATGTGATGAAACAGGAAGTAAGAGCATCACTTGTGAATGTTCCTTCCTAAGTAAATAAATCTGAACCTAATTTAGCTAGCTAGACATACATACTGGTTAATAGGAAATACAGGGGATAGAAGAAGAAGGCACCACAAGGAAGCAATCAGCTAAATCCAGAATGTAGGACATGCCTCTCCAAAATGACCAGATTTTTAATAAATTGGTGGCATGGAAATAAAACAAGGTTCCCTATAGAATAAAAGAGACAAGGAACAGCAATAAAATGCAATATGTGGCCTTTGTTTGAATCCTGATCTGAAAAAAAAACCTGAAAAGATGCTTTTGAAACAGAAAAATTTGTATATGAACTGAATATTGAATGATAGAAACAATGTAATTATTAGACAGTGGTTATATAAAAACAAAATGTCTGAGTTAAAGATGCATAATGAAGTATTTACAGGTGAAATGACATGATATCTGAGATCTACTTTAAAATAATATAGAAAACAAAAAAAGAAAAATAAGGAAATAGATGAAACAAAATTGGCAAAATATTGATAATTGTTGGAGACATAATTGGTACATGGGTGTTCACTATATATATTATATATGTATTATATATATGTATTATATATAATATTACATATAATTATATATATAATATATATCATATATTATATATATACACACATATGTTTTTTTGAGACAAAGTCTCACTCTGTCACCAGGCTGGAGTGCAGTGGTATGATCTTGGCTCACTGCAACCTCCGCCCCCTGGGTTCAAGCAATTCTACTGCCTCAGCCTCCCGAGTAGCTGGGATTACAGGCACGCGCCACCACACCCAGCTAATTTTTTAAATTTTTAGTAGAGACAGGGTTTCACCATGTTTGCCAGGATGGTCTCCATCTCTGGACCTTGTGATCCACCCACCTTGGCCTTCCAAAGTGCTGAGATTACAGGTGTGAGCCACTGCACCCATATCACTATATTGTTTTTTACTTGTGTATAGATGTGAAATTTTCCATAATATAAAGTTTGCAAAGGAAGCAAAATAAACGTAAAATTTCTGTTACAGGTAAGATAAAATAGAGAAAAGAGATTGGTTAACATTAGAATGTATATGATAGTCCAGATGCAGTGGCTCATGCCTTTAGTCCCAACACTTTGGGAGGCCAAGGCAGGAGGATCACTTGAGCCCAGGAGTTCAAGGCTGCAATGTATATGATAAATTGCAGGGTAGTCATTGAGAGAATAAAAACAGAATATAAAACTTCCAAACCAACAAAGTGGAAAAACAGAAATAAGAGAAAAATCTTCATCTATTCAAAACAGTCCAAAAAAGAGCAAGTTATAAACAACAGGAAAAAAAATAAATGAGACAATAAGATGTAGTCATAAATTCATATATAGGTAATCATAATAAATTTGAATTAATTAAACTTTCCTGTTAAAAGGCAAGGATTTAATGGCATGCTGCAAATGTGATGCTCAAAGGGAAATTTCTAACACTAAATGCCTACATCAAAAAAGAAAGATTTCAAATCAATAACCTAATTTTATACCTTAAGGAATTAGAAAAAGAAGAGCAAATTAAACAGAAAGCTAGCAGAAAGAAGGAAATAATAAAAATAAAAGATTAACATGGAGAAAAATGAGACAGAGAGTAGAAAAACAACAGAGAAAATCAACAAAATCAAAAGTTGATATTTGAAAAAAAAAATCAACAAAATTAACAAAGCTTTAGCTAGACTAAGGAAAAAAGAAAAAATGCCAAAAACTAAAACCGCAAATGAAAGCGGGGACACTACTACCAACCTTACGGAAATAAAAAGGATTATGGGAGAATAGTACACCAACAAATTAGGTAACCGAGATGAAATGTACAAATTCCTAGAAACACACAAATTACCAAAACTGGTTTGAAAAGAAATAAAAAATCTGCACATAAATCTTACAAGTAAAGAGATTGCACCTGTACTAAAATGCTTCCCAACAACAAAAGTCCAGGATCAGCCGGGCACAGTGGCTCATGCCTGTAATCCCAGCACTTTGGGAGGCCAAGTTGGGCAGATTGCCTGAGGTCAGGAGTTTGAGACCAACCCGGCCAACGTAGTGAAACCCCGTCTCAACTAAAAATACAAAAAATACCTGGGCGTGGTGGTGCATGCCTGTAGTCCCAGCTACTCGGGTGGCTGAGGCAGGAGAATTGCTTGAACCCGGGAGGCAGAAGTTGCAGTGATCTTGCACTCCAGCCTGGGCGACAAGAGAGAAACTTCGTCTCCAAAAAAAGAAGAAAAAAAAGCACATATACATCTTTCAGTATTCAGAGGGGGGAAGAAACAGAAGGCTTCAAGGCAAAAAATAAATAAATAAAATAACTTGAGATAAAGTAAGTCACAACATAATGATCAACAAATATTTTTCGAGTGCCTACTGCACACCAGGCACTGTTCCAGGCAGTTCCACAATGAGAGAGAGTAATCATATTATCTGGAAGTTATGGCAGTTTTGTGTCTTCTGTCCCAATGTTGTATCCTTCATTCATTTTTCCTGGCCCTACTATACTTTAATGTTTAATAGAATGGTGAGAGTAAGTTTCCTTGGCTTGTTACTGATCTTAACATTTTAATATTTACTAAAGTCTTCACTGTGGGGAATTTTTAAAAAAATACATCTTTTATGGCTGAGCGTGGTAGCTCATGCCTGTAATCGCAGCACTCTGGGAGGACAAGCAGGCGGATCACCAGAGGTCAGGAGTTCAAGACCAGCCTAGGCAACATGGTGAAACGCTGTCTCTATTAAAAATACAAAAGTTAGCTGGGCGTAGGGGCGCACGCCTGTAATTCCCAGCTACTCAGGAGGTTGAGGCAGGAGAATCGCTTGAACTCAGGAGGCAGAGGTTGCAGTGAGCCAAGATTGCACCACTGCACTCCAGCCTGGGTGACAGAGCGAGACTCCATCTCATAAAATAAACAAATAAATAACAAAAAGACATCCTGTATTAGTTTAAAAGCGTTTCTTTATATTCTTAATTTGTTTAGTTTTTTAATCATAAATAGAGGTTGAATTTCAGCAAACACCTGTTCTGCATTTATTGAAATGATCCTATGGTTTTTCTCCTTCTATCTGTTAATGTGAAAAATTACGTACTTACTTTTCTAATCTATTCTAGTGTACTCTAATCCAATTTGGTCATGATGTATTATCTTGGATTCAGTTTACTGATGTTTTGTTTATGGAAAAGATTGTTCTATATTTTCCTTCCTCAAACAGTCTTTGGTTGGGATAACAAGCAGATTAAGCCAACTTTGTAAAAATTATTAGCAAGTATTGGTAATTTTTCTACTTGCTGGAATAGTTTGTATTTGAAAGTATTCATTCCTTAAATGTTTGGTAAAACCCTTCTGTTTAAAAAAAAAAGTCTAGTCCTGCTGTTTCTTTGATATGAAGATTTTTAGTCACCAATTCAATTTTTTAAATGGTTAAAACATCGTTTACATTTAAAATGTCTTAAATGTAAAATTTGTGCAACTTGATTTACATTTTCAAAATTATTGGCATAAAGTTGCATCATATTTTTACATTTTTAAAATTGATTCTTCATCGAAGTCATGTTTCCTTTCTTTATTTTTATTTAATTTTTTTGAGACGGAGTTTTGCTCTTGTTGCCCTGGCTGGAGTACAATGGTGCAATCTCGGCTCACTGCAACCTCCGTCTCCCAGGTTCAAGCGATTCTCCTGCCTCAGCCTCCCAAGTACCTGGGATTACAGGCATGCACCACCACGCCCGGCTAATTTTGTATTTTTAGGAGAGACAGGGTTTCTCCATGTTGGTCAGGCTGGTCTTGAACTCTCGACCTCAGGTGATCTGCCTGCCTCGGCCTCCCAAAGTGTCGGGATTACGGGCGTGAGCCACGGCGCCCAGCCAATTTCCTTTCAATTCTGCTATACTTTATGGGTCCCATCTCTATTTCCTAATTAGTCTTGCCAAAGGTTTGCCAGTTTTATTAGTTTTTTCAAAAAAACAAAATTTGGCTTTGTTCGTCATGTCAATTTTATGATTGCTCTCTGTTTCATTTATTTCTGCTCTTACCTGTAAATTTTCTTTTTTCTACTGTTTAGGATTTACTCAGCTGTTCTCTTGGTAACTTCTCATGTTAAATGTTTGGCTTATTGATTTTCAGCCTTTTTCTCCTATATCATAAGCCTCTCATATGTTCTGATACGTGGAATTTTCATTATTGTTCGCTTCTAAGCATATTCTAAAACCTGTTATGCTTTCTTTTTTTACCCATGAATTATTTAAAGGTTTTTCCTATTTCTATGCTTTTTTGTTATTTATTTCTTATTGAAGTACATGGTGGTCAGAAAATATTGTTTGTTCAATCCATCCTTTTGGCATTAACAAAAGATTGCTTTTTGGCAAGATAAATGGTCAATTTTCATAAATATTCCAGACGTGCTTGAAAGTAATGTAATGTCTGCAGTTACTTGGTGAAATGTTCTGGAAATTCCCATTAAGTAAAATTTGTAATTCCATAATTCTCATCTCTCATCTTTTCTATGCTCACTGACTTTTGTTTTTTTCTGCTTTCTCCTTCTGAATTACTCAGTGAGGTATGTTAGACAAGACAGAACTATCCAAACTCACAGTAAGAAACCAATCAGTGAAATCTAGAAGGCAGAATATTCTATCGGACAGTAGCTTAATTCCTTCAATTCACGGTATGAAAATAGAGGCTGTTCTAAATTAAAAGAGATTTGTGGATGTAAGCAGATTGGGTCCTGAACCCTAACCTAGAAAAACCAGGTATAGAGGACATTTGGAGGAAAATTGGTTTGGGCTCTCTAAAGCCTAGGGTGCACCTTTGCCCAAGTCCGAGGACACCCAAATGTCCTCCCTTTGCAGATGGCCAGTGCTTTGGTCCTGCCAGAGGAGGGCTGACATCCCCATCCACCTGTTCCAATGATAATAAAAGCGCCATTGCCTGTGATAACAGATGTCAATCCCCAACACCCAGAAGATGTAAATGCTAGGCACTTGAAAATATCATTTTGAGTGACTTACCAGGGGACTTTAAAGGCAGACTGTGTGGCTAGTCTTGCTGGAAAGACACTCTGAAGTCTGTGATAATGGAGTAGCCTCTGCCCCATCCCCAACACCCGCTCCATGGCCCCATGGGTCTATCAACTCTACTACACAGCTAACCCCCATGAACAGGGACTGTGTCTCATTTCTCTGGGTCTCCCCAGCAACTAGCATGGCTTGTTGGATAAACAAGAATTAGCTGGCCATCGAGCCACCATCTCTGTCTTGGCACAACCTCCGTGTGTTCTGCTTGCAAAATTCTGAGCCCAGGCCCTTTTATCTCCTTTGTCTCCTTTAAGAAAAGGATGCTCAAGCCTGTCACAGAATGAAAAACATTACGGGCATGCCCAGCCCAGACAGATGGGAGGGAGGTGGATGCAGAGATTGTTGTGGCCAAACTATTTACTGTGTCTGGACAGGACAATTTCAGGATTTGGAAATTCCCCGGCTGCGGAGAGGCAAAGGCTCTTTTCTCTCGCCAGTTACCCGAGCAGCAGCCGGTGAACTGACTTTAATTTAGGATGTGAGGCTATGCTACGCCCTCACAAGGACCCAGCAGAATAAGACCACTGTTCAGGGAGCTGGGTGGCCCCTCAGTTTGCAGAGAATCCATGGCTGGATTTGATGGGTCAAAGTCAGCAGTATATACCCTCCCTAATGTGAGTGATTTTTCTCTAAATCCCACCAACGGTATCCCAAGAAGATAACTGGGCAAGTGCATGAAGACATGTGTTTAAGGATATTCATCGCAGCCTGTCTGTAATTTCAAAAAACTGAAAACAGTACATTTAGATCCATTAACTTCTGATTATATACATGAATAATGTCACATCCATACAGTGGATTACTCTGCACTGTTAAAGGGATAATGGAGATCTATATTTCTTTTTTTTTTTCTTTTTTGAGATGGAGTCTTGCTCTGTCACCCAGGCTGGAGTGCAGTGGTGCAATCAAGGCTCACTGCAACCTCCACCTCCCAGGTTCAAGCGATTCTCCTGTCTCAGCCTCCTGAGTAGCTGGGACTACAGGCGCGCCCATGCCCAGCTAATTTTTGTATTTTTAATAGAGATGGGGTTTCATCATGTTGACCAGGCTGGTCTTGAACTCCTGACCTCAGGTGATCCACCCCCTCCTCGGCCTCTCAAAGTGCTGGGGTTACAGGCATGAGCCACTGCCTGGCAAGATCTATATTTCTTGACATGGAGATAGGTGGATACACCTATACACACACCCACATGCCGATCTGATATACACAGAGTCATTTGTGTACATATTTGAAAAAAAAAAAAAGATGTCTAGGTCATTCACCACACTGCACCGCAGGTTATCAATGGGTAGTGGGAATTAGAATGACATTTACCTTCTTTGGACTTTATGGAGTGTTTAATTTTTTTTACCATGACTATGTATCATTTTTATAATCAAGAGAAACAAAGTGATTCCCATTTTGGGATAAATAAAATTAGCTGTTAGCATTTTTGAAAAGTTTAAAAAGAATTTGTCAATATGTATAAAATTCTCTGCTCTAAAAATGATATAATTTTAGCACAACTTTTTCCCTCACTGCTTCACAGAGGTTTCATTAAAATCAGCTCGAGCTTCCATCTGTGATTTTTAAAATTTTTTTATTTTTTATTTTTGAGATGGAGTTTCCTCTTGTTGCCCAAGCTGGAGTACAGTGGCGCGATCTCTGCTCACTGCAACCTCCGCCTCCTAGGTTCAAGCAAGTCTCCTGCCTCCGCTTCCCAAGTAGCTCGGATTACAGGTGGATGCCACCATGCCCGGCTAATTTTGTATTTTTTTAGTAGAGAAGGAGTTTCACCATGTTGGTCAGGCTCGAAATCCTGACCACCCACCTTGGCCTCCCAAAGTGCTAGGATTATAGGTGTGAGCCACCATACCTGGCCTTTTTTTTTTTTTTTAATTATGTTGCGTTCATTTCAGGAACTCTTTGGTAAAAATTGCACTACACTGCAAAGGTTGAGAACCAGGTGCTGGAACCAGACAGCCTGGGCTCAGGTCTGGATCTGGATTGTGTTATTCATTAGTTCTGTGATCCTGGATAGGTCCTTTAACTGCCGTTTGACTCGTTTAAATTTGGGATGATACAGGAGTTCGAGGTTACAGTGAGCTAAGATTCCACCAGCTTGTGTGACAGAGTAAGACCCTGTCTCAAAAATAAATAAATAAACGTTTAAAAGACTAATTTGAGCTGATAGTACTACAAAACCTCACATGGCTACTCTGAGGATTAAATGAGATGATACAGGTACAGAAAGAACTTAGAACAATGCCTGACTTAAAGCAAGCACTCAGGCCGGGTGCAGTGGCTCACGCCTGTAATCCCAGCACTTTGGGAGGCCGAGGTGGGTGGATCACGAGGTCATGAGATCGAGATCATCCTGGCTAACACGGTGAAACCGCATCTCCACTAAAAATACAAAAAATTAGCCGGGTGTGGTGGCAGGTGCCTGTAGTCCCAGCTACTCCGGAGGCTGAGGCAGGAGAATGGCGTGAACCCGGGAGGCAGAGCTTGCAGTGAGCCAAGATCGCGCCACTGCACTCCAGCCTGGGCGACAGAGCAAAACTTCATCTCAAAAAAAAAAAAAGCAAGCACTCAATAAATGTTTCTACTTTCCTCTTTCTTAAAATTTACAGTCAGCTCCACCATTGATTATTTGGATTGAATGATAGGATATATTTTACTGGCTTCTTTTTTGCCATTGTTACTATATGTTGTTTCGTTTTTTCCCAGTTTTATTGAGAAAACTGGTAGTATAATTGACAAAAAAATGAACATATTAAAGGTATACAACACGATGATTTGATATATGACACACTGATACGTGTATACATGGTGAAATGATTATCATAACCAAGCAAATTAACATATCCATCACCTCACATAGTTACCTGTATGTGTGTGTGTGCTTTAGATTCCACATATAAGTGAGACATACAGTATTTCTTTGTGTGTCTGGCTTATTTCTCTTAGCATTGTGTTCTGTGGGTTCATCCATGTTGTCACAAATGGCAAGATTTCCTTTTTTATGGCTGAATAATATTCCAATGTGTATATATTTCCCATTTTCTTTAGCCATTCATCTGTCAGTGGACATTTATGTTGCTCCCATATCTTGGCTATTGTGAATAATGCTGCAATGAACATGATGGAGCAGATTTCTCTTTAAGATACTGACTTCATTTTATCTGGCTATACATCCAGAAGTGGGATTCTTGGATGAAATGGTAGCACTATTCTTAATTGTTTGAGGAAACTTCATACTGTTACCTATAATGGCTGTACCAATTTATACTCCCACCAACAGTGTCCAGGGTTCCCTTGTCTTCCTCCACATCTTAGCCAACACTTGATATCTCCGTCTTTTTCAAAAGAACCATTCTAACAGGTGTGAGTTGCTAGCTCATGTAGTGTTGATTTGCAATTGCCTGATGATTAGTGATGCTGAGCACATTTTCATATACTTGCTGTGTTCTTTGGAAAAAATGTCTATTATTATTTCTTTGCTCATTTTAAAATCAGGTTATTTATTTTTTGGCTATTGACTTGTATGAGTTCCTTATATATTTTGGATGTTAGCCCCTTATCAGATATATGATTTGCAAATATTTTCTCCTATTTCATAAGTTATCTTTTCATTTTACTGATTGTTTGCTGTGCAGAAGCTTTTTAGCTTGATGTAATCCTACTTGTTTATTTTACTTTTGTTGCCTATGCTTTTGGTGTCCTACACAAAAAATCATTACCAACACCAATGTCAAGGAGCTTTTTCCCTTTGTTTTCTTCTAAGAGTTTTACAGTTTCAGTTCTTACATTTAAGTCTTTAATCAATTTTGAGTTAATTTTTGTGTGTGGTGTATGATACGGGTCCAATTTCATTGTTTTCCATGTGGATATCCAGTTTTCCCAACACATTTATTGAAGAGACTACTCTTCCCCCATTGTGTATTCTTGGCACCTTTGTAAAAGATTAGTTAACAGTATAAGCATGGGTTGATTTCAGGGCTCTCTATTCTGTTTCATTTGTCTATGTGTCTTTTTATACCAGTACCATGCTGCTTTGATTACTGTTGTTTTGTGATGTAGTTTGAAAGCAGGAGTGTGATGCCTCCAGCTTTGTTATTCTTTCTCAAGATTGCTTGGGTATTCAAGGCCTTTTTTGATTCCATGCAAATTTTAGGATTTTTCTTTTATATTTCTGTGAAGAATTCTATTGGATTTTTTTCTTTTTTCCTGTATGTATGTATGTATGTATTTATGTATTTATTTATTTTTGCCTGAGGCCTCCACTTAAAGAGGAGCAATTGAAATTTTGATAGAGATTGCATTGAATCTATAGATTGCTTTGGGTAGTATGGACATTTTAACAATATTAATTCAGGCCAGGCATGGTGGCTCATGCCTGTAATCCCAGCACTTTTGGAGGCTGAGACTGGCAGATCACCTGAGGTCAGGAGTTCGAGACCAGCCTGGCCAACATGGTGAAACCCCATCTCTACTAAAAATACAAAAATTAGCCAGGCATGGTGGCAGGCACCTGTAATCCCAGCTACTCAGGAGGCTGAGGCAGGAGAATCGCTTGAACCCTGGAGGCGGAGTTTGCAGCAAGCTGAGTTGGCATAGGCGACAGAGCAAAACTCTGTCAAAAAAAAAAAATTTGCTGAGTAATGAACCAAAATGACATCACCAGAATGTATTGCTCCCCTGTCCCCCAAATACTCCCCACCACCGTCATTCTCAGTCTTCTAATAGTTGGTTATCTTAAGTGCTTACCTTTTATACCCATTGAATTGTCAACAAATAGCTGCCAATCTCAGGCCTTTCTGGATGCCTAAAATCCAGCAGCATCTATAACATGGATTTTACTGAAAGAGGAACAGTGTTCACAAACTTCTAGGTGAATATAATCGCGCCACTGCACTCCAGCCTGGCGACAGAGTGAGACTCCATCTCAAAAAAAAAAAAAAAGAAAAAAAAAGGATTGAGTGAATTAACAAATGAAGAACACATAGAATTATGCCCAGTACATAGTAGGCCTTCCATACACATCAGCTATTAATACTGTGACATTCCAGGGCCTTTAGACATTTTTATATCTTATGAGGCAAAGAAACAAAAAACCCAATCAGTTCTGTAGAAAATACCTCGTTGATGTAGTTACCAGATTTCCATGAACAGAGGGAAGAATTCGGTAGTGATATGACTCAAACCCAAGGTTGTGGACGAAGGCAGTCCCAAGGGCTCTGAGACTACCCACACAGAAGGTCTTGAGATAAGCATCTATAAATAGGAATCGGAATGGCCCATCAGGGTCACAGAGAAGAATCCTGAATCATTACACAACATCAAACTGCTGAGTAGAGACCCTCAAAAATGGTTTGAAATGACTGAATTATTCCCTTAGTGAGTAAGTAGTTTTTACCCCCAGGAAGACTTGAATTACGTACAGAAATGTAAAAAGAACAAAATCCTAATTATTTATGTATTTACTTATTTGAGATGGAGTCTCGCTCTGTTGCTGAGACTGGAGTGCAGTGGTGCAATCTTGGCTCACTGCAACCTCCGCCTCCCAGGTTCAAGTGATTCTCCTGCCTCGGCCTCCCAGGTAGCTGGGATTACAGGTATGCGCCACCACACCTGGCTAATTTTTGTATTTTTAGTAGAGATGGGGTTTCACCATGTTGGCCAGGCTGGTCTCGAACTCCTGACCTCAGGTGATCCACCCACCTTGGCGTCTCAAGTGCTGGAATTACAGGCGTGAGCCACCGCGCCTGGCCATCTTTTATATTAAGGTGTTTTTTCTATTTTATATTCTTATAATATTTAAGAGAACTCAGTCTATTAAAATAATAGATTGCCTCAAGATTACAATTTTAAATGTGTAACTGAGTAAATGATCTGGACTTGGGATTTGCTCTTTTACACGTAGTACTGGAACAGCCAGTCAGACTTCAAGCTCATATTTATATGCTAAATGCATTCAATTTATAAGAATTGCTTCAGCACTTAAGAAGGTTTGTCAGCCAATTATACTTAGGAAGTTAAGCAAATATATTATATGTGATGAATAATGCAATATGAAAAGTTTAAAGGAGTTTAAGTTCGTAAATGAGACCAAAATTAATCAGAGCCTTCTTAGAAGTGATTGCTAAATTTGCTAGATCTATAATTAAAATAATAAGTTATTTAAGCTGAAATTAAAAGTGTAAGGACAAACTAGGTTTTTCCTTTTATTTATAACTTTAATAAATTGAATATTAATTTTTAAAACTTAAGAAAACCCCTGGATAATCTTTTCTGCACATAAAATCTGCCTTTCAGGGCATCCAAAAATTCACATTAATGTGCATATGAGGTTGAGGTTATTTGAGACAGTCCTGTTACCTCTTATTTCTGTTCATGTGGGGTCAAGAATAGGACAAGTTCGGGCCGGGCACGGTGGCTCACGCCTGTAATCCCAGCACTTTGGGAGGCCCAGGCAGGCAGATCACGAGGTTGGGAAATTGAGACCATCCTGGCTAACATGGTGAAATGCTGTCTCTACTAAAATACAAAAAATTAGCCAGGCGTGTTGGTGTGCACCTGTAGTCCCAGCTACTCGGGAGGCTGAGGCAGGGGAATCGCTTGAACCTGGGAGGCAGAGATTGCAGTAAGCCAAGATCACTCCACTGCACTCCAGCCTGGCAACAGAGCGACACTCTGTCAAAAATAAAAATAAAAAAGAATAGGACAAGTTCTCAGTAGGCCCCTGGACTAACCACCCAGCACCCTTAAATTCACACAGGAACTGGCTTTTGATCATAACTCTTCCAATTCTGCACACCATTCAGCAGCTGCGGTTCACACAGGACCCTGGGAACAGAGAATCCCCAGCCCAAATGGGGTTGAGGTTGTGGCTCACAATGTCCCCCAGAGGGATGTCCTATCTCCATGTGAGAGTCACTGGGGCTCCAACCTGTCCCAGAGTCTGAGGCTGGAGTGCAGCAGGGTTCCCCCATGGCTCAGAACATGATTATCAGGATGTGGTTCCCTTAGGCGGCATCTTTATTGGCACCCCCAACAGGTGACGCCCGCCCTGGACAGCCGGACCTCCCAGGTGGATGACAGACCTCCTTGCCTCTCCAGGTGGCGGGGGATACATCACAAATCGGAGTCATACACACAACACTAGAGAAACGGAAGAAAGATGATGCATTTTGGTGGTGACAAAGGTGGGAGCAATCTCCCAGAGCTAGGGACTCCCGAAATTGGGTTGGGTTCTAAACTAACTACATAATCAGACTGATGCGTTCTTCTGTTGGCTGGCTCTGCCTCACCACGAACTCCACACCCCTGGAAAATCCCTCCCAGGATTGTCTGGGAGGTCCAGGTGTGTCCCTGGGCACAAGATCTGGGGTGCTTAGCTGGGCCCAGCACTTTCTCGGGGCTTCTCTGCTGGGTGTGTGCTTTGGAGGCAGAACTCAATGAACCCACCAGAAGGCTCCTTT